>NT_167245.2:2718030-2888876 GCF_000001405.40 Homo sapiens | reverse complement strand
TGGCCGAATTGTAAGCACCACCTAGCCCCAGATCCTTAGCCTTTTGTTTCCTGAGGTTTCCATTCTCTGCAGTTTTCATTTTTCTTTTCTAAACTGACATTCTGTAACCTGGATCTAATCTATTTCTAAAGGTGGTTGAGGGTTTTGTGTTCTAAATCTGCTTTCTGTCCCTCAGCGTCGTATGTCTCGTGGGGTGAATCCCTCCTTGGTGAGCTGGCTGACCACTATGATGGGACTGAGGCTTCAGGTGGTACTGGAGCACATGCCTGTAGGCCCTGATGCCATTCTCAGATACGTTCGCAGGGTTGGTGATCCCCCCCAGGTAAGGGACCTGTTGGGCGATGGGGTCAGGGTACTTGAGAGAACTGGAGAGATCTGAGAGGAAGTATGGTGTTCTTTAATTTCACAGCCACTTCCTGAGGAGCCAATGGAAGTTCAGGGAGCAGAAAGAGCTTCCCCTGAGCCTCAGGTACTCTAGAGAGGGGGAGGTTGAGGGGCCAGATAATGTGGAGTGGAGGGCTGGGGGAGAAAGGTTTGGAGGCTAAAAATTCTGAAGCCTGGCTCTTCCCGCCATCTGACACCCAGCGGGAGAATGCTTCCCCAGCCCCTGGAACAACAGCAGAAGAGGCCATGTCCCGAGGTCCACCTCCTGCTCCTGAGGGGGGCTCCCGGGATGAACAGGATGGAGCTTCAGCTGAGACAGAACCTTGGGCAGCTGCAGTCCCCCCAGTAAGTGTCAGGAAGTAATCCAGTGGGTCATGGCAGCTGAAAGTCAAGGACATTACTATTTTCTCTTTTCCTCCCCAGGAATGGGTCCCTATTATCCAGCAGGACATTCAGAGCCAGCGGAAGGTGAAACCGCAGCCCCCTCTGAGTGATGCCTACCTCAGTGGTATGCCTGCCAAGAGACGCAAGGTTGGTTTTCCTCTTCCCTAAGCCTCTCTCTCTATCCAGGTTTCCCCGTCATGCCTGGAATCAAACTATGTAGAGATGGTGGGAGCTCTTGTTATTCAGTCTCCCCTCCCCTCGTTTAATGAGGAAACTTTTTCTGGGATTCAGACTTGCTCTTGGTTGTTGCATAACCATACAGGACTTGACCTTAGTCTGTTTGCTAGCAGTCCTGTATTAGTTGCTCAGCTGCCTAATCCCCATGTGCTTAGATCCCATTTTCCTTTAAGGTGGGTTTCCTCTTGTGGATTACCTAGCTCTGAATCCCAGATGGCTTGACCCCTTCTGCCTTTCGTTTTGAAGAGCACGTTCAAGCACATTCACTTTAGTTTTGGCTAGTGCCAAAGAGAATTAGGAAGGCATTTCTGCTGTAAAAACCACATCCTGGACTCTTAATTTCCCCTCTCTCCACTAGCATGGAGACTCAGTGGAGTGGTTGACTCATGGAAAGGGTGAGCCGGATGGTGGCACTGGATCTGACGTTGATCCTCTTTTCCCTCCCAACCCCCTGTCCCCCAGACGATGCAGGGTGAGGGCCCCCAGCTGCTTCTCTCAGAGGCTGTGAGCCGGGCAGCTAAGGCAGCCGGAGCTCGGCCCCTGACGAGCCCCGAGAGCCTGAGCCGGGACCTGGAGGCACCAGAGGTTCAGGAGAGCTACAGGCAGCAGGTGCCACCTTGAAGCAGAATAGGGATGGTCTAGTGGGAGGGGTTGGGCTAGGGTCCCTCTTCCCTGGATCCCTTCAGCGATGAACTGGTCAGCCTGGTGCTACCATTTGTTTTCCCCTTTGGCATCTGGGAAGGCTTGACAGTGCCACCCCGGGCTATTTGACAGTGTGCTTGGGGGGGGAAATGTTAGCTTCTGAGGGATGGCCTTGTGTGCTTGCTGGGATCATAGGGACTTGGCCAGCCTTTCTCCAACCTGCTTACTTTTTCTCTTTAGCTCCGGTCTGATATACAAAAACGACTGCAGGAAGACCCCAACTACAGTCCCCAGCGCTTCCCCAATGCCCAGCGGGCCTTTGCTGATGATCCTTAGCTCTTTGCTCTATGGCCCTTCCTCATCAGGGGACCGTTTCCCCCCTCTTCCTTCACAGTATTTAAGAAATAAAAGTCGGATTTTTCTGGCTGCTTTCTCTCTACATTGTCTCCATTAGGTAGTGTGTCCCTTAATCTTGTGTGAACTTTTTTAAATTAATACTTCCTTGGAACACTGTTGTGTTCTACTCAGCACGCTAAATTGTACAAGCCAGTTTTGATGTTTGTTTTTTTTTTTTTTTGAGACAGAGTATTGCTGTCTCCCAGGCTGGAGTGCAGTGGCCCGATCTCGAGCTCGGCTCACTACAACCTCCACCTCCCGGGTTCAAGTGATTCTCACTCATGCCTCAGCCTCCTGAGTAGCTGGGACTACAGGCGTCCGCCACCACGCCCGGCTAATTTTTGTATTTTTAGTAGAGACAGGGTTTCACCATATTGGCCAGGCTGGTCTCGAACTCCTGACCTTGTGATCCACCCGCCTTGGCCTCCCAAAGTGCTGGAATTACAGGCGTGGGCTACCGCGCCCAGCCTGGTGTTTGTATTTTTTGTGCGAAAGCACTTTATATATAAATAAAAAACCTGTATTTTGAGTTGGGAGCATATTCCAGGTGCACACTAGCATAGAGCTCTCAAATTACCCATCAAAAAAAGTTTCTGAGCAGCTGCAGACCTAAGTATAGTCTTTAGCATAACTAGCATGCAGCGTTACCATGTGAAATCCCACTTAGTTTGACAATGCTGGAATTGGTCTATCCAATTCAAAGAGCCCCTTAAGTGTGCTCCAACATTGAGGCCTTAACAGAGATTTCCCCTTAGTTCATCATAAAGAACTGAAGTCCCATGGCTGCAAATTCTTTGCTAGTCCCTTTGAGATGCAGTTGAAGTCCCTTCTAAACCCCCCCATCCCCTACCTTGGCTAGTTTAGTGCTCTATCAACTAAGCATGGCATAAGCTTAGAAAATTCCAGCTAGACCTCTTGGAACATGAGCTCACGGACATTTAACAGGCCTGCTGGAGAGTCCATGTGAAGACACTGGTTGATAACCCAGTAATGTTACAGATGTCCCACCAAGGCCCTAGATATGCAAAGGAAGCCATATTGGGACCAGCCCAGGTGTCAGCTGCAGACTGATAACCAGTTGACCTCGCTCACTGGCACAAAAAAGCAGATTTATCCAGCTGAGCTCAGCCCAAATTCCAGACTCACAAAAATTTAAAGATCCAATACGATGGTCATGTTTTTAGTTTCAACAGCTCACTGGAATAAGTAATGAATATTTCCCTGACTGAAACTACAGATCACTCAGCACCATGCTTTAAGACAATGCAAACAACTCATCCCCCAAATCATTGTAGAAGTTTTTTTTTTTAAATCCTTTTATTACTCTTTTTTAACAAACAGCCCCAGGGACAGGGGACCAGGGGAAGGGGGAGGAGGGGAAGTGAGGCCCCAGCCCCACAACCCCTCCCCGCCCACCCCTTTCCCCCTTATATATTTATAATCTATATACAAGCCCCGGGGGTAGGGGGCAAGAGGAACTCCCTCAGCGGGGTGGGGGCAACCCAGGCTCCTTGTCCCCTCGGGACCCAGGCTCCTCTGCCCGTCGGGAGGGCCCTTCTCGAGGTGGCGGCCCTGTCCGCTCCCAAGGCTTAGGTATCCAGCGCAGGGCATCTGGTGGGGAGGCCTAGGGGACAGGCATGTGTTAAAGAGTGAGTCACAGTGAGAGGTCAGCGATGAGACGGAAGGACAGGAAATCAGGTGGCAACTCGAATTTAGAGTTGGGGCCACAAGGGTTTCTCCTTCACCTGCTGGTAAAGGTCGACGCGCTGGGTGCGGAAGACTCCACTGTAGGTGGAAGGCGTGGCCTTGAGACGGGAATTGAGGCCAGAGAAGGACCTAAGGGAAGAAGGGCGTCTAAGGCAAGCCTAGGATCCAGACCCTGGTTCCAAAGTAAGGAAGCACTTGGAAAGTCCACATCCCTATTCCGTTTCACCTTCCAGTTGGGGGAGTCCGTGATGATCCAGGTCCCCCAAGGTTGCTGCTCAGTTTTTGATAATCCTGGAACGGCTTTAGTTCCACTGGATGCAGCTGAGGGGAAAAAAATCATGAGCTGCCTACCTTGAAATACAGAATCCCTACTCCCAAGTCTTGGCGCTCCCTAGCCCCTCAGTTCCTGTACCTTACCTCTGCTCGCCCCAAGCTAGCGGGGAAGGGCCTGGCAGGTGAAGGCAGCACCCGAGTAGCAGGAGCAGGTGGGGGCCGCACAGCCAGGCTGGGGGGCTGCAGAGCAGGGCCCACAGGTAACAGAGAAAGGGGAGGTGGGGCAGGAGGTGGTGCTGGCGGCAGGGAGCCAAAGTTCACCACAGGCAGCTGTGAGTCTACCATGGGTAGAAGCATCTGTAACAAGAAATTTGGGTGTGCATGTTGGGGGCAGGGAGGAATGTCAGAAAACCAGGGAAAATCAAAGCCAGCAACTGGACAGAGAAATCAAATGAAGGGGAAGTGTGAAGATACAATATACCTGCTGGGCAGGAGCCCCTGAAGGGAGAAAGCCACTTTGGCCACCAGGCTGCAGAGGAGTAGAATAAAAATCCGAAGGGGATGGCAGATCCTGGCGTACCTGTCGGGAAACAGGGAGAAATATATCAACCCCCACAAAATCATTCTCCCTACCCTATCCCCCAATATCTAATACCTGCCCCCCTCTTACCTGAAGCAACGATGTGTCAGGCAAAGGACTGGGGCAGAAAGCCGGAGAGTAGAGGAAGGAAGGTGGAGGGTAGAGAACTCCTCCAGCCGGCAACTTCCCCAGCTCTGTAGCTTGCATTGTGGAGAAATCCAGAAACTGGCCCTTGAGAGCTACCCCAGAGAGCAGTGCTGAGGGAGGGGCTGGGCCGGGGGGTAGGTATAGGGGCTGTGATCTGAAAATAAATTGTGGGGAGAAAAGCTGTTAGGAAGCCAGAGTCCTAGCAATGCCTTAAGTCCACTAGCTTCTAGTACCCTAGAACTGTGTCTTCCCCTTCCCTCTCCCCGAAACACATCTCCAAGTACTTCTGTGATCCACAGGCATCGAGTCTTACCTGTAAGGGTGCAGTGAGGGTGTCCCAGGGCGGAAGCCTCCACTGTTTGGATGTAATTGAGAGTCCATGGCTCCCCCAGAGATCTGCAGGAGAGGAGCACGGTTGAAACAGCTTTAGTATCTGTGGTCAAGAAAAAAGATCACCATCCCACCCATAGAAGCAAAAAGTAGGGAGAAAAATGATGTGACAAAGTGGTATCTCACAACTCTGCAACGTAGAAAGGCTTGATTATAAATACATACCAGGCAGAAAAAAATTATTATTCACTGAAGGGGTCATGCAATGGGAAGCGGGGCCTACCTGAGAACTGGAAGGCCCAGCACTGCCATAGAAAACCTCAGGATACAGGCGCTGGCCTGAGGAGCTGGGCTCCGGGACACAGTGCCCAGAATCCAGGTTCTTGGATTGTGGCTCAGCAGAGGCAGCAGCACTGGGAAGCAGCTCCCAGTCTCGTGATACAGGAATGGCCTGGGAAGGAGAGGCCTCGTGGAGAGGGATGTCTGGCATCCTGGACGCCCTGGTCACTCCCAGCAATCTTCCCCAGAAATCTTGGGCCTTTCCACCAAACTCTTACTCCCACTTACCTCAGTGACTGATGCTGTTAGCTCCTTCTCTGCTTTCAAGCTGTCTCCTACCACTAGGCGTAAGTCTGAGTCCTGTGATCACAAGAAGGCAGGAGACATTGTCCCGTGACAGACATGTGTCCTCTATGTCCCACCTTTAGTCCTTCCCTTCTCTCCACCCAACTCAGGATACCCAGATCCAGCCCACACAGACCTTGTCACTAGTGCCAAACTGGACTGGGGGACCAGGTCGATGGGATGGCCGAATGGGGCCAGGCTCTGTGCCTCGGTCTGTACGCTGTGATCGTTCTGTGCCAATGGGGCCAGGGGGCAGAGGCTGCTCCCGGGGCAGCTCCTGGATTGGGCACACAGTAAAGTGCATTGGGGGAGGGAAAGGGAAATCCAAATTGGAATGCCCAGAACACACACGCAGAGAGAAAAAGCAGAAAAAGGTAGGGCCAAAGTCAGATTCCTGGAAACATTCCCCTTATCCTTTTTTGGTCTTTTACCTTTCTGTCCCCATCGTGGGGGGCAGGTGGTGGTCTCCTAGGAGGTTCAGAGCCAGGTGGACCCTCACAAGGAACAGCATTCAGGGGTGAGGAGCCTCCAGGCCTCTTGGGGGGTCCCTCTGCTGCCCCCTTGAGTCCTCCATCAGGGGAACTTCGCTGGCTGCAGGGACCTGATGACACCTGAGAATCCCCACTCAGGTCCACCCCACTGTCAGACTGACTCATCTGAGAGGAGTGGAGAAGGAGCTAGTTAAGTCAGGGTAGAAAGCACCCCAATACCTGACTGATGCACACATACAAACTGCAGAAAGGGGACAGCCAAGTGAGAGAACAGCTCCAGACTCAACCCAGAGCAGGTGGGGGGTATGACCAGTGCTCAAAAAAGTCCCAGCTCAGACACACCCTCCCACCCTCACTCACTTCTGTGCCAGCCACATCCTCAAAAGGACTCAGGGGCTCCATCCAAGGCTCCATGGAGCTGGGCCGGTAACTCTTTCGGCTAGTGGCTGGAGAAGGGAGCACCAACCAGAAGAGAAGTGAGGAGATGACAGTTCAGAAGCCCCTCTCATTCTTAACCCTTCTACCATAGTCCTTTCACTCAGCTTTACTCACCAGTATGTAAACGGTTCCAGATGTGAGGGGTCAGGGCCTCTGTGCCTGTATCTCTGGACTCTGCCTGAGGGCCTGGGCCCTCAGGCTTAGAGCCCAAGAATCCAGAGCTATGAGGAGGTGGCAAAGATTCCTACAGATGAGAAGGGCCAGAAGCAAAACATGAATTGGGTGGGAATTGGGAATTATAGGAAGCCAGGACAGAGTGGGGTGACACAGGGTGTGGGGACAACAAGGGAGACACATGGGAGACTAATACTGAGAATTCTGGAGTAAAAACACAGTGAAAGAAACAGGAAAGAAAACAGAGAAAACATAACCCAGAAGAATTTTCACGAGTAAGAGTGCAGTGAAGCACAATCTCAAACCCATCCCTTACCTCCTGTAGCAGCTCTGGTTTTCTGGGAGGCCGCTCCCGACGTTTAGGGGGAAAGGGACTAACCCCGGCAGAGTCCCGAGGAGTCCCACCCACCCCTCTCACCATTGGCCCCGGCTCCTCAAAGTGGGGGTCTGGGAAAGAGAAAAAGGGTCAGCATCTGCCTGGCTCTGCCACTGACCCTAACTTTTCCTCTCTACTCCACCTCCCAATTCTTCTACCCTTGCTCCCTGCAGAAACGCACCCAGCAGCAGGGTCCCTAGGCCAGGTTCTCCACCCGCTCCCTCCAGCACTTGACCTTCTCTGGGGATGGAGATATTCCCACCCATAACCCCTCCAGCTTACCAGAACTGAGGCCGCTGTTGACCCTCTGGGGCTCGTATCGGGTTGGGGGCCTAGGAGAGGGGCCCTGAGGGGCTTGGGGAGGCCCAGGCTTGTGCCTTGGATGACCCCCTGGTGCAGTTACACTCCCTTGACGGCTACTAAGCTGGGCCAGAGCCTGTTGGATGCCAGCAGGGTTGCTGTGGATAACTTGGTCCAGGCGGAAGACAGCAGAACTGCTGGGAGGTGGGGGAGGCAGGGGAAGCCCCGGGGGACGCTCCTCTGGAGGACGACTGGAGAAAACAGAGCATTAGCTCCAGTATCCACTAAATCGTTACTTTTTCCCACAAGTTATGTTTCCCAACTTCTGCTTACAACCTATTCTCTTCCCTATTAAAGTCCAGGTGTTTTTGAGTCCTTCTAAGGATTCCTATGCATACAGATGCACAGACTGGAAAGCAAAGAACCAGCAATGAATACATAGGTGGGTGTTCTTGACTCTAACACCCTACCAACCGCTTTCCAGTTGCCTTAGCCAGACATGGAAATCCTACTGACATTCTAGAGCCCATGGCCCCTCAGGCCACAATCTCCACTCCACCCAAACTTATCTTTCCCTCAGGCTTTTTCCCCCTCCTCCAATTTTTAAACCACAATAAATTTGTTTGTTCCTACCCACCTTCGGTTCTTGGGAGAGGGCCAGCTCCTCTTGTCGCCTCGTCCTGGCCCGGTCCTTCCTCCAGGACCCCCACCGCCTCCTCCACTGCTGCTGCCACTGCTGCCAGCCTTGCCCCCTGGGCCAGGGCGCCGATTCTGCCGTTCCATGCCTGGCCGCTGACTTGAGAAGCTCCGTTTACTCAAATCCTTGGCTCTCTGGCTCAGATCTCCGCGGGACATGGCTGAAATACCTGGTACGGCTCCACCTCCACCTCCCCCAGGAGTTCCCACAGCCTTGGGTGTCAGCAGTACTGGTGGGGGTGCCTCTTTGTCCCCTCGGCGCTCACTGGTGAAGTCACTGCTCTCTGATGCAGTCTCCCATTCCTCATTGGCTTGGTCTGAGTTCTGGTTTGACAGATCAGGAGACTTGGCAGCTGCCCGGCGAGGTGCTGGGGCCACTGTGACTGTTGTGAGGGCCTCCTCAGGTCCAGGAGCGGAGGCTGGAAGGGTTAGGGAGGGCTTGCCCTCAGACCCCCTTGCGGCATTCTCCCGTTCCTGCTTCAGCCTCCGGAAACGAGGCGGTTTATCCTGCTGCTGAGCCCTCCCATGTCGCCTCCTTCGGGGTCGCTCCCCATCTTCCATGCCCACATTGCTACCTCCATTGCTGCCTCCGCGCGCCACAGGGGACAGAGGCCCTGGGATCAACTTCTCTTTCAAAGGCTCCTTACTTGGTGGCAAAGGGCCTGTGGGAGGTTTCTTGGGAGCCAGAGACTTGGCTGGAGGGCTCCAGCCTGGGCAAACTTGAGGAGGGGGCCTCCCTCCTCCTCGGCCCCGGCGAGATGGCACCCCTCTGGGAGTGAAGACTCGCCCACCCCGGGCAGTGAAGCGGGCTGGGGCTGGTGAAGGTGGGGCTCCTGGTGGTGGGGGAGCGAGAGGGACCTGGGTGAGTGTTCCCTCCTTGGGTGTGGGAGCCTCCTTGTCTGAAGGAGCCAGATCACTCTCATGGGTCTCGCTGCCTGTTTCTGAGCCCCGCTGCCGGCGCCGCTTGGGGATTTCCTCATACTCTGAACCCTCGCTCCGTGTCTCGCTGGCAGTGCGGCCTCGGGGAGCAGGAGGGTGGTTTGGTCCCCCTGTCCCACCTCCACGCCCATCATCTCCTCGAAACTCTCGGTAACTGCGGAATTCCCGGCTTCGGGCTCCCCGCCCTCGTCCCCCATAGGTCCCCCGAAAACCCCTCCCTCTGGCAAAATACTCGCCTCGGCCCCGACCCCGGCAAGAGGTAGGACCCACTCTTTCATACGAATAGTCCCTCCGAAGCCTTGGGGCAGGGGAAAGATTTCCATTGGGTGGGGTCTCCTTGGGGCCCCCTAGCTTCCCCTTGGTTATCTTGAGTGGGTCTGGCTTTGGGGGTTTGGGGGTTTCATCCCCCTGTTCGAGGGGCTTGGGAGGCAGCTCTTCTACTTTTGTAGGTGGTGGAGGTTTCTTTATAGGCCCAGCCCGGCGGGGTGGGGCCCCTGGCTCCTCTGGAGGGATTCCACGACGACTGCTCCCTGGACGAGGGCCCCAGCGGGTCTCTGTGCGACTCTCTCTGCGTGGTGGTGGGGGGCCCTGGCCTCCACTCCCGACTCCGCGGGCAGGCTTTCGGCCTGCTTCTGGCCCCGTCAGCTGTGCAGTCTCCTCCTTAGGGGGCTCCTTCTTGGGTGGTGGAGTTTGTATCTTGGCCACTTCATCACTGCCTGGGGGCCAGGGGAGTGGACGGGGCCCTGGTTCCTCCAGAGGAAAGCGAGAGATTGGGGGCCCAGGGGCTCCATTCTCAGGAAAGCCTGGATAACTGGCCAGATAGGGTGGTGGGGGAGGTACTGGAGGAGTCTCGCTCCTGAAGAGACAGACAGAAAGAATGGAAATAAGTATCTCAGGAAAACCAGAACTAGGTGGGAAAAGAACACTTTATTATGATGCAGACTCTCTTTTACTATTTTTCTGTTTGTTTTGGCAGAGATGGCATCCAGTTGCCGAGGCTAGTCTCGAACTGCTGGGCTCAAGCAATCTTCTTGCCTCAGCCTCCCAAAATGCTGGGATTACAGGCATGAGCCACTCCATCCAGCCTCTCCTTTCCCGTTCATCCCTATCCCTACCACTAACCCAAAGTACCTTTCTCCCAGGCCTAGATCCTTTCACTGTGAACTCACCCATTTCTCATGACCAAGACTCACCTCATCCCCTTGTCATCCTCATCCGCAGCCTGGCGCAGAGGTGAGGTAAGTGGGCGGGGTTCAGCGGGTGTGGCGGTGAAGACATCTCCTACCCAGGCCAACTTTGGATCCACCGGTGGAGTGCCCCGTTCCCGTAACATAGCAGGTGCATGACGGTCAAATGGCTCTGAGCTTGAGCCCCCACTGTCTGAACGCTCTCGGGGAACTAGGCCTGAAGAAACCAAAGAAAAAGAAAAATAATCCTATTCATGTCACAAGCCCTCCAGCCCAAAAAGCATCTCCCCTCGCGGTCAAGTCAGCTCTTCCATCTCTTGTTCCCAGTAGGTCCGGGCCTTGCCTGCTCTTATATAACAAGGTTATCCACTCAGATTCCCTACAAGAGAATCAACCCACCCCAAATAAATCCTGGCAAATGAAGGACCACTGCTTCTTTCATTCATTCATTCATTTTTGAGATGGAGTTGTGCTATTCATTCATTCATTTTTGAGACGGAGTTTCGCTCGTTGCCTAAGCTGGAGTGCGATGGCACAATCTCGGCTCACTACAACCTCCACCTCCTGGGTTCAAGCGTTTCTCCTGCCTCAGTCTCCCGAGTAGCTGGGACTACAGGCGAGCGCCACCACGCCGGCTACTTTTTTGTATTTTTAGTAGAAATGGGGTTTCACCACGTTAGCCATGGTGGTCTCGAACTCCTGAACTCAGTTGATCTGCCCACCTCGGCCTCCCTAAGTGCTGGGATTACAGGCGTGAGCCACAATGCCTGGCCAACCACTGCTTATTTCTTAACTAAGCCCATTTTTGCAACAGAGCTATCTCAGCAGTGCCAAGCATATGCCCTTCCCTCATCACTATGATGGGCAAAACCTATCGTACCAGAGTCACAGTAAGACCCTAATATCCAATGCCTAAGACTGAGGGGACTTTCCTGTTTCTCACTCCTCCCATGCCCCCTTACCAGAGGGATGCACACCAGGAGGGTAGAAGTCTAGAGGGGGACGACCCTGGAGGAGCCGGGGGTCCACATAAGGAGGAATCATCATCCATCGGGGATCAAAGTTCATTGGGGGCATGGGTGGGGGCCGGCCCAGAGCACCTGGGTACAGGGCCTTGGGGGGCGGGGGTGGAGCCTGTGGAGCTGGCACAGCCCCCAGGGTCACAGGCTGTGGTGGTGATGGGGGCACTGGGGTAGGAGGGGCAGAGCCCTGTTGATGCTGCTGCCACTGGTGCTGCTGCTGCTGCTTCAGGAGCTGCTCCTAGGAAAGGAGGAAAGACAAGATGAGAGAGGCTCAAAGCACACATGGACAAAGGAATCAGCAAAGAAAAAACTTGGACTAGGGGAAATTGGCGTGACAATGGAGACAACTGGACAAAGAAGCAAAGGGACCCAGAAGGTAACTTATGAAGAGAATTAGGGACCGAAGCCAGGAAGAAAAGCAGCCCTTAGAGGGTAAACAACTTGATTTCACCTGCTGCTGCCGCTGGAAACGAGGAGGCAACGACTTCTGATATTTGGGGTAGCCCAAGCCCTGACTAGGGGGCTGGCGGGTGGGACCAATCCCATCACCCTTGGGTTCCACCTTTGGAACTGGGGGTGTGGTAGGAGGAGGAACCTCTTCTGGTGGTTCAGGACCCTCTTTTGAGGGCAGTTGTGGTTCCACTGCATCGGAAAAAACACAACAGAGTGATCTAGTCCAACAATAGACACTCCATGAACACCCCAGGAATCTCACGTCTCATCTCTAGCTCCCTTAAGACTAAAATATTCTATTCAACATCTATTCTATTGAAGCCCCTCCCATTTAAGACCCATTAAAGCACTTCATGGCCTCTCATGAGCCTATGGTGGTGGCATTAACTTTCTATGAAACCATTAGAACAACAGTACTTTCTTCAGTCTTGGCCTATAGGAAATAGTTTTCATTTTTATTTATGTATTTCTTGTGAGACAGGATTTTTTTTTGAGACAGAGTCTTGCTCTGTCACCCAGGCTGGAGTGCAATGGCATGGTCTTGGCTCACAGAAATCTCTGCCTCCCGGGTTAAAGCGATTCTACTACCTCAGCCTCCCAAGCAGCTGGGACTACAAGCACATGCCACCACACTTGGCTAATTTTTGTATTTTTAGTAGAGACGGGTTTCACTATGTTGGCCAGGCTGATCTTGAACTCCTGACCTCATGTTCTGCCCGCCTCGGCCTCCCAGAGTGCTGGGATTACAAGTGTGAGCCACCATGCCTGGCCGACAGGGTCTTGCTTTGTTGCCCAGGCTGGTCTCAAACTCCCTAGGCTCAAGCGATCCTCCACCCCAAGCCTCCCTAAGTGTTGGGATTATAGGCGTGAGCTACAGTACTCTGCCAAGAAATGGTATTAGACTACAACCTAAGATTCCAGACAAAACCTTCCCTCCTTCAGATATACAAATGATAGAACACTATCACTGATAGTCCAATAAACCAAAACAACTGCCTTCTACTTCATTTATCCCCAGCCTTACCACCCTGCACCTTTAAGCACCTTGAAGCAGTGATCTGACATCTGGTAGTACCTATCCCCATCTCCATACCTGGGCTGGCTTCGAAGCTGCCACTGCTGGTGCTACTGGTACTGCCACCACCACTCACCAGAGTGGGAGCCGCAGCCACACCTGGAGTAGGAGTAGATTGGGCAGGAGGGGCCTGTGCTGGCTCTTCAGGTTCTTTCTCTGGTGTTGGGGCTGATGCTGGAGGTGGAGCTGGAGGTGCAGGGAGTTCTTTAGGGACTGCAGGTGGTGGAGCTGGGGTAGAAGGGGCAGCAGGTGGGGCAGCAGGCTCTGCTTTGAGCCGCTTGTCAGGTGCCCCAAACTTTTCATCGAGTCGCTTGAGCTTCTCAGCACAGGCTGCCCGGCGCTCTTCTTGCATGCGCCGCTCCTCTTCTTCTCGCCGTCGCCGGGCCCGCTCCACTGCCAGGGAAATCTCAGATGACGACTGCTTTCGTCGCTGCCGCCATGCCTCATCCTCATCTTCAGGTGCTGGGGGCTTGCAGGGAGGACCCCCACGATCCTGTCAATTGGCAAGACCCAGCAGGGCCAGGGGAATCAGTTACTATGCTTTCTACCATCTCTTTTACAACAAATCAACTGTCGCTACTTGCAGGATGCAACGACCCAGGCTTTGGGGTTGATCTCTCTGGGTGGTGACAAACTCATTATCCTGGTCTTCTTTGAGACCACGTCTTGCTATGTTGCCCAGGCTGGTCTTGAACTTGGGCTCAAGTGATCCTTCTGCTTCAGCCTGCTGAGTAGCTTGGACTACTGATGCATACTAACAGATCCAGCTATCTAGCCACCCTAGTCTTTTTATTTTTCTGTTCCCTCTCTCCTTCCGAAACCCAAACACCCAGGGCTCCTTTTTCTTCTTTCCTCATTAGCATCCCAGTTTCTCACTTCTTACCCAGACTCCCCTATTACCAAAGATATTTAAAAGCTTCCCAGGATGTTCTGCAGCCTGGCACTTCACACAGCCCATTTTTAGCACCCCCCTTCCTCTATATCACAACCGCTTCAATTACTCAGCTGACACCAATTTCCCACAGCTGACCCTCTCAATCCCTTATTGGAGACACTCACTGGGTAGTCCCCAGGGGGGCCCCAGTTCCCGGCGGGGCCCCGGTGAGGTGGGGGTAGGGGAGGCTTTGGGGCAGGAGGTCCCGGCTCTGTCTCTGGAGGCCGAGAGGTTTCTGCCCAGGCCGTCTTAGGAGTGGGCGGTTCGCTGTTGGGGGAGTTGCCCTTTTTGCCATCTGCTTCAGGGGGCCGTTCCTCACCAGAAGCTGATTGGGAATCCCTGCTGTGAGCAGATCAACAGTGAAATTAAAATCAGCTGCAACTAATATACTCCTCTAAGAGTATATTACCAAAATACAAACCAAGACCCCCTCCTCTTCTCCCCTGATGGCCCTAACTCACTGGCCCTCAGCTCCCTCCTCATCAGAGTCTCGCCCATCTTCCTCATCGCTGAACTTGAGCTTTTCAGTGTAGTCAACCTCTTCATGGGCCCCTGAGGGGAAATATGAGTATTAGTAACCCAAGCATTCTGCCCTCCAATCTTGGGAGGTAGTCTGGAACTATGTAACAAGATGGACTACCAATGCCAATATCCTTCCCTCCGAAGTCTAGATCCACCAATGAAGTCTTGTCATTCTTACTCCTCTCACCACTTTGCAAGGACTTGGTATTCCCCATCCATCCTCCCCTACTCTTTTTTTTTTTTCCTTTTAAAAGTCTCGCTCTGTTGCCCAGGATGGAGTTCAGTGGCACGATCATAGCTCACTGTGACCTCCAACTCCTGGGCTCAACTGATCCTCCCACCACAACCTCCAGAGTAGCTGGGACCACAGATGCACAGTCCACACCCAACTAAAAAATTTTTTTTTTTTTGTAGAGGTGGGGGGTCTTGCTGTGTTGCCCAGGCTGGTCTTGAACTCCTGGCTTCAAGCGATCCTCTCACCTAACACTCCCAAAGCACTGGGATTACAGATGTGAGCCATTGGGCCTGGTCTTCCTACACTTCAATGTCTGCCTTTCACCCACATAACCCTGTATTTTTTTTTCCTCATTAGGTTTTGCCTTTCAAGATCCAAATTCTTGACCCTTAATATCCACTTACCTGCCCAACCATCATCATTCTCCTGATCCAACTGATCAAACTCTTTGAGATTATCCTCTTTGAGAATAGAGGGACGACCCACAGGCTCTACTAAGCGCATTGGTGGCCCTGAGCCTCGGGGGCCCGCCACACGGGGAAAACGGCTGTACACAAAAAAGAAAATGAAATATGGCATGTTGTATAACCACATGCGAGACTGATCCTAGACTGAGCCTCCTGGCTAGAAAACCATCTCCTCCCCCAATAAGCTTCCCCTGCCCCCAGCCACAAACCCAGACCTGGATTGCTCACCTGGGCCCATCAGGAGTGGGGTATCGGTAAGGCCCCTGGGGTCCATAGGGCGGAGGGAACGGGAGATATGGGGGATACATCTGTAAAAGGGTCCAACAGTAGCTGCTCAGAGGGACAGTCATATACCCTTCTAGCTCCTTAAGCCTGCTATCAATCATCCTCCCACCCTCCCCTCTATCTCATAGGTCAAAGACTAAGTCCTGATTCCTAGCTCTCCAGCTTCCAGTGTAATCGTTCCAAGACAAGACACCAAGACTCACGAAAGGCGGCATCATTCCGCGGTAGGGAGGGAACTGGGGTGGGCCTGAAGGCTGTAGCCCACCCCGGGGATCATGACCATGATGAAGTTTGGAGTCCGGGCCCTCCAGCTCATCAGGGCCACGCCCACCTCCGTCCCTCCAAGTTGTAGAATCTGTATTTTGGAAAAGGTAGAGAGAGGTATCAATGATTGGAGGACAAGTGAACACAGCTGAAAGTGATGGGGAGGAAGGTGAATAAGCCAGCACCTAGCTCTGAGATGCAATAGGTAATGTCTTGGCCAAAAGGCAGCCACTCACTTTGGGGGCGGAGGCTTGGTCCGGGCCCAGACGACTGTTCGGCAGACTCCCTTTCCTTGGCAGCCTTGTCCTGGTCGCCAGCCGCCTGCAGGGTCGGAAATTCCTCTCGAGAGAATCGTGACAGTAGGCTTGATGCCCTTCCACCTATTAGGATGGGGATGCAGAACAGGAGACAGAAGACATTTCCTGAGGACATGCTATAAAAGTGGAAGACTCTGGCTGGGCGCGGTGGCTCACGCCTGTAATCCCAGCACTCTGGGAGGCTGAGGCGAGCGGATCACGAGGTCAAGAGATCGAGACCATCCTGGCCAACATGTGAAACCCCATCTCTACTAAAAACACACAAAAAATTAGCTGGGTGTGTTGGCGTGTGCCTGTAGTCCCGCTACTCTGGAGGCTGAGGCAGGAAAATCGCTTGAACCCAGGAGGCAGAGGTTGCAGTGAGCTGAGATTGCGCCACTGCACTCCAGCCTGGGTGACAGAATGAGACTCCGTCTCAAAAAAAAAAAAAGTGGAAGGCTCTGACAGGTACCAGACCATCAGGTTTCCCGCCTTCAAACTCACCCCCCTACAGAATAACTGCTTATTCCCCAAGGAGGTCAGTTCTGGCACCACTACACTCCATCATATAAGACTGAGACTTAAACTTGCTCATGTGCCTCCATGAAACTGAATATGGGTGGTCCTTGATTTAGCCAAAGAGGACCAAGGTCACTTGGCTGAAAATACAGTGCAGGGTTCATGCATCCCATGGTGCCCAGACACAGCTCCCCAATTAAGTGCTGCACTCACCATCTCCATGTGCTCCATGGGTGACGCTGGCTTGTGCCCAGGACTTTACCCCGCTTGGAACCAAAGGAGTGTTCTGGGGAAGTGTTCAGAAAGATGATAAATGATGTGGGTGGGGCAGCTATGAACCATTCTTCCTCCCCACCCCTCCAGTTCTCCAGGTACCTCGGGGGCTGCTGGGGGTCGTTTCGGCTGGTTGGAGGCAGGCGTCTGTGAAGCCGGCAGTGGCTGCGATTCCAGCGGCTGAGCGGTTGAGGCATCGGAACTGAGGGGACAGAATGGGAAGGTTATTCACACCTGAGATGCCTCCCTGACTTCTCCAACTGGTGGAGACTCAGGACTGAAATCATGCCCATTGCTACCATTTACAAATACAAGGACAAAATAATTTTGTCATCCTTTGTAGGCTGTTGTCTATTTTTTCATGCTCTCTCTCCAAGACAAAAAGCTAAAGTTTAGTACCATTCCTTAGTCATTTAACAAGGAACCTGCAATAGGTAAGAAAGGGACCTCTTCGTCTCTGGCTCAGACGTGGCTGGACTAAACCAAGCCCCAATGCTCCCTGAAGTTCAAGTTAAAATACCCATCACTCTAGGTCCCCCAAGCCTCTGTCTACCTCTTGGGGTCGGACTGCTCCTGTTTGCTTGCCCATCCTGTTCCGTCTTTTGGCACTAGTGAGACATTGGGGTCATTGCCTTTGTTCTCGGCTTTCAGGCTTGGAAGGTTGGCTGGAGGTGGCATACGCCGGGCAATGGCAACTTTCCCGAGACTCTGCAGGCCATGGCGAGGGGCAACTGGAGAACAAGACGGAGAGAGGGTCGAAAATGCCTCATGTGGGAGATCTGATGGCCTCCTATCCTGGGACACATTTATACATGTTGAATATTTTATTACCTACTTCCTCCAAACTTCTCTTAGAAGGGATTCCTTCCCCTGCCCTTAATAATCTCTGAAATCGCGCTGATTGTGGTGGCTCACACTTTGCAATCCCAGCACTTTGGCAGGCCGAGGCAGGCGGATCACCTGAGGTCAGGAGTTCAAGACCAGCTTGACCAAAATGGAGAAACCCTGTCTCTACTAAAAATACAAAATTAGCCGGGTGTGGTGGCGCATGCCTGTAATCCCAGCTACTCAGGAGGCTGAGGCAGGATAATCGCTTAAACCCAGGAGGTGGAGGTTGTGGTAAGTCAAGATCACACCATTGCACTCCAGCCTGGGCAACAGGAGCTAAACTTGGTCTCAAAAAAAAAAAAAAAAAAAAAATCTATGAAATCCCTATCAAGAAGGCTGAGATATGTAACATTCAATACTTTTATGTGAGATTGGTTGATCATGAGCCTGCAAGAAGCAAGCTGGCCTCAAAGTTTCCCAAATCCACATTTATTTTCCTCCAATTCTTACATGTCCAAAGACAGGGAACCACAGACACGCCTTTGTAGGAGGATAACTGGTGTTCACCCAGAGCCCACACCCCCTTTAAAGGACCCAGTGTAAAGTTGGGAAATCTCCTCTAGTCTTTTGGTATTTCTACTACAGCCACTTCCCTTTAAAGAGCTCTAAAACGTATGCCCCATGCATGCCTAGCTTTCAACCATCAGAAGCATCTTTGCAGGACTCTCACCAGCGGGTTTCTGGATCTCTAAGGACTTGCCCTTATACGTATCAAACAGGTTGAGCGAGGAATACTTCTTTCCATCCTTTCCCTTGGCAGTCGGCCCCGAGCGATCGGACATTGCGCTGGAAGCTCATTGAGTATGTTGGGTCCTGCAGGCACCTCCCCCAAAACGTGCCAGAGCCTGTGGGCCAGACAGCAAGTGTCTCAGTCTCTGTCCCCTGTACAGACCATAACAGAAACTTAAAAACTCCATTGCATTATCATTAGGGACTCAGATATGAGGCCCTCTGGTGTCTTTTCCTCCAGTCTATGTAAACTGCCCACTCTTCTTAAGCAACCATGATCTACTTAGCTCCCTCATAGCTCAAATGCCATGTTCCCTCCTTTCCCCCAGACACCTTTGTCAAGGAAATCTAAGTAAAAATCCAGCATCCTCCTAGTATAAACACTCTGCCCTTTGTGCCTGTCTACAAAGAGTAATTCCCTACAAGTAATAATCTCTTCTCTCTCCACCAAAATCGTTTCAGAGACTTACAACAGGACAAATTCAAGCAAGAGAAAACTAAAAAAGAAGCATACAATTCCATCAGAGAAGAAGAAACAACACTTTAGATTCCCTGTTTATTGGACACAAGCTCCCTAATCATGCCCCCAGGGCCCTGTACCCCAGGCTCCCAGCCCAGCAGCCTCGTGTCCATCTGGGAAGGTTTGCAGGAAGGTATGCTGGGAGTTTAAGGATTTTATGAGCTTGCTCAGCCGGAATGGGGGTTGGTACCAGAGAAATCCTCATAGAACAACTAGGGCTGTACATACTCCCAGGCTATAGGAACCTCAAGTATTTGAAATATCCCATCTTTTCCTAAACTTGCTCCTGTATTGGCTCCTGGAAAAAATCGCCTCCAGATGAAATACTGTTTTACCATATGAAGAACTGAGAAAAAGCATTATGGAGCCACCTTAGCACCCTGTAACCATGGGCCAGAAAACAGAGGGCCAAGGCCAGAGCCACCTTCGTTTTCCTATCCTCATTAAAAATGTCCATCACCAGTGTTTCTTTACTCGATACCTCCAGCTCCCTAAGCAAGCCGGACGACAGGTCTCTCAGTCCATTCCAGAGTGACCAGGCATTCGTTTATGGACGGGAACAGTGTAAAGAGATGAGAAATAGTGGGGAAGAAAGCAGGGAAATCCAGACAGGCCCAGAATGAAAGCTAAAATTGGGGAGAAAGAACTTTATGACAAGCTAGAGATAAGATGGATGTTGCTTCGTAGGTGTTTGAGGAGGCCAATCTGTGAAGATAAATATATGAAGGGAAAACGAATACAAGAGTCATGTAGCGAATAGACCAAAACTAACAGAAAATAATGAATACGAAAGCAGGTGGAAAATATATGGAAACAGGAATGGCAAAAAAAAAAAGGATGTAGACAACGAAGTAAGGGGGCAGAGGCCCAAGAAGAAAAACGGGGTTGGGGGAGAAAGGAGACGAGGAACAGGAAAAATGAAAAAGCAGACATAGGGCGACTGAGCAACATAGAAAGCAAAGATGCTGGGATAAAAGCAGGATTCTAGAGTGGGAGTGGCTCGACACGAAGAGGGGCGTCCAGAGGGGGGAACACAGCGCTGGATGATAGGAGGGGGTCCAATATGGAGGAAAAGCGCCCTTCCGAGAGAACCGTCGGGCGCGGCCCACCACGGGGCGGCAGCCGGGGAGGGGGCCCACAAATGGGGGTGAAAAGCCAGGAGCGCAGCGGAGGGTAGGGAGTTACGGACCCAGGCGCAGGGGTCACCCCCTGAAGCCAAGACGGTGGGTGGTTAGGGGCAGACTACGGATCCTGAATGAACTGCCGGAGGTGCGGGTCCCGGAGTAGAGGTACCGGAGGGGGAGGGGCAAGCAGGCCCGGCAGCAGGAGGACAAAATGGCGGCGGCTAATGGCAGCTTCTCCTCCCCCCGGCCCACCACCGCCGCCGCCGCCGCCACCGCCACCGCCACCGCCACCACCTCTCCCGCGCCGGAAAAGGGCGTCAGCGCACGGTTCACCCAGACTCACCTGGCCGGGTGCGCGGGGATCCGGGACCCGGGCCTAGGGGCTCCCCGGGACGGGATGGCGGTGGGGCGGGGGAGGATGGCGGCGGATGGCGCCGGGTTCGGCTCCTCCCGTCTCCCTCGCTCACTCCGCGGCTGAGCCCCGACTAACGGCCCATCCGGGCAACCGCCGCCCCCGGGAGCACCCCCTCCCACCTCCCACCTCCCTCCGCGCCTAGACACGCCCCTTAATTTGCATAAAGGGCGGGGCACTTTATACCCTAACCCTCTACTTCCAGGGCTGTCTTTAGTTTAAAAAAAAAAAAAAAAGGGCCGGGCGCGCGGAGCATGCGGAGGTTATTTGCATAAAGAGGAGGGACTTAAGGGCACTAGGACCCCGATTGGCTAAGGAGGCGGGCCCCCAGCGTCGGCCGTTGAGCCGTGTTGAGGGGGCGGGAATGCGGTGCAGGTCGGCTGGGCGGTTGGGACGCAGAATTTACACGACGAATGTGGGAGAAAGAGGCGGAGCGTGCGTCGGACGTTAGTAGAAAGATGGGAGCGGAGAGACGTTGGGACGCCAAAAGTGGAAGGCAACGACACACGGCCCGTGGCGCCTTCAGCTAGGGAGAAAGAGAGGACGGGGGCTGGCGGGCGGGATTAGCTGCCGGAGGGCTGAGTTTCCGCAGGCCTGGTAAGAGTTCCAGCTCTCGCATCCCTTTGCCGTGAGTTTGAGGAGGTGGTTGGAGCGGGGAAATGCACCAGAGGGGCGGGGCCTTCCAGTTATTAAATTACGTCATGCAAATGAGGTGGCTAGACAGACCAATCCAAAGGCCCCGGGAAGCGTTTCGTCCGCACCACGCAGCGTAGGCATTCTTCGGGCAGTTCTACCTATTTGCATAATGTATGCAAATCATTTGAACAAAGATAGGCTAGGAATGACTCGTTCATCAAAATATGGGCAACCATCGACTAAGACGGACATTTAATTTTATAACCTATAATTTTCATGAATAAATTTTTATATTTGAAATTATTGGGAATTTGTAATTTCTTAACAATGGGTTTCATTTTGTGAAATGCAGTACTGTTACCCTCCTTTGTCTCTTACTACCCGATTCTAGAACTCTCTGCTCCCATCAGAGTTATACCCATTCAACAGATCATTCAATGACTATGATTTGAAGGCGCTGGAGATAATGCACAGGATATTATAGAAGTAGAGAAATAAGGCCTGGCGCGGTGGCTCACGCCTGTAATCCCAGCACTTTGGGAGGCCTAGGCAGGTGGATCACGAGATCAGGAGTTCAAGACCAGCCTGGCCAACATGATGAAACCCCATTTCTACTAAAAATACAAAAATTTGCCCTACGTGGTGGCGGGCGCCTGTAATCCCAACTACTCGGGAAGCTGAGGCAGAGAATTCCTTGAACCAGGGAGGCGGAGGTTGCACTCCAGCCTGGGTGACAGAGCAAGACTACGTCTCAAAAAAAAAAAAAAAAAAAAAAAAAAAGAAGGATGGGCGCGGTGGCTCACGCCTGTAATCCCAGCACTTTGGGAGGCTCAGGCGGGCGGATCACCTGAGGTCACGAGTTCGAGACCAGCCTGACCAACATGGAGAAACCCCGTCTCTACTAAAAATACAATTACCCAGGCGTGGTGGCGCATGCCTATGATCCCAGCTACTCGGGAGGCTGAGTCGGGAGAATCGCTTGAACCTGGGAGGCGGAGGTTGTGGTGAGCCAAGATCGTGCCATTGCACTCCAGCCTGGGCAACAAGAGCGAAACTCTATCTCAAAAAAAAAAAAAAAAAAGAAAGAAGTAGAGAAATAAAATATGATTATGCCTGGGGTGATTGAGAAATGTTTCTAGAAAAACTCTTATTAAGAGATATGAGGCCGGGCGTGGTGGCTTATGCTTGTAGTCCTGGCACTTTGGGAGGCTGAGGCGGGCAGATCACAAGGTCAAGAAATGGAGACCATCCTGGCCAACATGGCAAAACCCCGTCTCTACTAAAAATACAAAAATTAGCTGGACTGGTGGCGCGTGCCTGTAGTCTCAGCTACTTGGGAGGCTGAGGCAGGAGAATCGCTTGAACCTGGGAGACGGAGGTTGCAGTGAGCTGAGATCACGCCACTGCACTCCAGCCTAGCGACAGAGTGAGACTACGTCTCAAAAAAAAAAAAAAAAGAAAAAGAAAAAAAAAAGGGCCGGGAGCGGGAGCAGTGGCTCACGCCTGTAATCCCAGCACTTTGAGAGGCCAAGGTGGGTGGGTCACCTGAGGTCAGGAGTTGGAGACCAGCCTGGCCAACATGAGACTCCATCTCAGGAAAAAAAAAAAAAAATGATATGAAGAATGATCGGAGTAGATATCTGTCAAAAATATATAAATAAATAGATATGAAGAACGAGTTAGAACTTACCCAAGTTTCAGAAGAAGGTGTACATCTCAGGTGCAGAGAACAGATTAGTGGAGGCATGAGTTTGGGGGCCTGTGCCTAGGCTGATATGGCTAAATAAAGGAGGCGGCTTATTCATTATGAAAAGTGAAGGCAGAAAAGTTTGCAGAAATCAGATGAGAATTTTAGTCAGAGGCTCAGTAAGATTTAAGATGACTTCTGTTTTCAAACTTCCAAAATGATTCTCTTCTCCCTTCTCCCCGGCCGGCTACCACACATACCGTTTTGTTACCCTTTGCAGCAAAATTCTTAAAAGGGATGTCCATAGTCATTGTCTCCAATGAGTTTCTCCTTCCAGTCTTTTTTTTTTTTTTTTTTTTTTTTGAGACAGAGTCTCACTCTTGTCACCCAGGCTGGAGTGCCATGGCGTGATCTCGGCGCACCGCAACCTCCACCTCCCGGGTTCAAGCGATTCTCCTGCCTCAGTCTCCCGAGTAGCTGGGATTACAGGCACCTGCCACCATGCCCAGCTAATTTTTTGTATTTTAGTAGAGATGGGGTTTCACCATGTTGGCCAGGCTGGTCTCCAACTCCTGATTTCAGGTAATCTGCCCGCTTCGGCCTCCTGAAGTGCTGGGATTACAGGCGTGAGCCACCACGCCCAGCTGTAAATTCTTTGCTTTATTTAATAGCACCAGTTCTTTCATTCATCTACCCATTCAAGTGTTTTTTGTTTGTTTGTATGTTCGGTTTTTTTTTTTTTGAGACGGAGTTCGCTTTTTAGTTGCCCAGGCTGGAGTGCAATGATGCGATCTCGGATCACCACAACCTCCACCTCCTGGGTTCAAGAGATTCTCCTGCCTCAGCTTCCCAAGTAGCTGGGATTACAGGCATGCGCCACCACACCAGGCTAATTTTGTATTTTTAGTAGAGACGGGGTTTCTTCATGTTCGTCAGGCTGGTCTCGAACTCCTGACCTCAGGTGATCTGCCCACCCCATCCTCCCAAAGTGCTGGGATTACAGGCATAAGCCATCGGCCCCAGCTCATTCAAGTTTTAAACATTATTGAGGGCTTATGATATGTCAGGCACAATAGCATAGGTCACTTTATCCCCATTTTTAGAAAAAAGCCTCACAGAGGCTGAGTGATTTGTCAAAGTGACAAAGCTTATAGTGGTGGAGAATGTTGGTTCATGGTATTCCTTGCTCTTCATGAAATCTGTCATGGGCCTGAGTACCTTGTTTGGACATGTGTTTTTGTCCTGCCTGCATTCTTTGAGGTTAAGGCTGTCTTACACAGCTGGAATCCCCCTTGGTGCGTGAAACCATCTGCTGTAGTGGACACACTATAGCGTTGTTGATGGATTGTTCATATGGCCAAATCCTTGCCACCTTTCCCTCAAGACCTGTCTCTCCTTCCCAAACCCAGGAAAAAAATCACCCAAATAAAAACTAAGCTGACTTGATCTGGAGGAGGGGGTAATTTATTTAATTTGTTGACTCTGGCTTACAATTTTGTCTTCTGTTTCCATATCTGGGTCATTAGAAGCCCCTTCAATCCCATCATCCCTTTTCCCTTCAAATCAGGGCAACTCAGAGATAGCTTTCTTGGCTGGGGGGCCTGTTGGCTTTTCCTTTTCTCTCGCTTTTTCCTCATACATCAGGATCCTGGTTGAGATGGGAAGAGGCACAGGGATCAGGGAACACTCCTCTCAAGGGAATAAATCATAGGGTGCTAGGAAAGGCTAGAAGGGGATGGGGATGTGAGGGTGGAAGGGGGAAGAGGAAGGGCAGGGGTTGGAGTTTCTGGGGACCAGGACTATGGATAGGGATGGGGTCGGGACCTTGGAAGGGTCCCTCTAAGGATGGAAGAAGGGATGATGGGCAACGTGTAGAAATGTTGAGCCTGTGGACAAGGGTAGGGATGGGGGAGGAGAAAACAGGTAAGTACAGGGGAGGTTGGAAATTGACACTCACATTTTTAGGATGGCAGATCTCTTGCCCAGCATCATCCTGAGAAAGTCAGGGTAGCTGAACGTCTCCCCGGAGCCACTGGACACCTCTCCAATTAATTTCTTTAGCTCTAGGTGAGTCTTGGGGACTCCAAGTTTCTCCAGCATTCGTTTCAGGGACATGATATCTGGGGGCAGAGGATGGGGATGGGGAGAAGGTGGGGAGACCCTCTCTCTCCTCTCCCACTTCCGCATCCCCATTCTCCTTCCTCCCACTGTGGTAGGTGGGCCCCCTCCCAAATCATGAGGAATGGAGCATGTAGGAGAGACCTCTGTCTTCTTAGGCCTGCACACCACCCTGCCCCCGCAAATCACCCGTTTCTCACCAATATCGCCATTTCCATTAAGGTCAAACTCCATGTATTTCTCTGGGTGAGGGGAGAGAGCAGAAGGGATAAGCGCTGACTGGAGGGTTTTCAGCCGGGGACTGAGGAAGGGGTTGCCAACCAACTGCTAGGTGGAGGAGACAACGTGGAAGGAGGAGGAGGGGCAGGCAGAGGAAGTGGGGTTGGGGAGTTGAGGGGCCCCGCTAGGGTGTAAGGAGCTAGAGGGGATGCTGAGAGAGGCAGGCCCGGGAAAGGGACCGCAGTGTGGCAGGAGGGCAATAAAGGCAGGTTCCCCTTTTGCTACCACAAAAGTAAACTTTTTATCTCTGCTGTTCCTGCCTTGTTCTTGTGGAAATCCTAACCCTCCTACCCCCAGCCCTGTCTCCACCGCCTACAGTTTCCCCCTCACCTTTGAAGCCTTCCAGTTTGGAGGGCAGATCCTCATCACTGCTATATTTGGGATCGTCTAGGAATTGCTATGGAGGGGAAAATAAGAGCCAGGGTAGGCCCTCCCCATCCACGCCCCATCCCCCTGGCTCTGCCCCCTTAGTTCTTCCTTCTACCTTGTTGATCTCATCCAGCCTCTCTTCCTGCTGGGCCTTCAGCAGTCCGAAAGCTTTTCCTCCTGTGGGGTGAAAAAAATTAATCAGCCCTCATCCCTCCCTTCCTCTCCTTACCCTGACACCAGCCCGGGCTACTCTAGGCCAGCTGACTGCCCTCCTAGCCCACAGCCCAGGTCTGTCCATCTCATTCCTCCGATCTAATGCTGCTGCCTATCCCACCCTCCCTACCCTGTAAATCCCTGGTTTGGCTCATAGCTCAGCAGATGCTGGTAGAGGTGGGGAGACAGACCAAGCTGGAGGCCTCTGTCTGCAGGCTCTCCTTCTCTCCCACCAGTCTTCTCAGAAGCCTTCCTCCCAAACTTCCCCTTTCCCCTCATTCCTTCCTCCTCTGCCTCCCAGACCTCACTTCCCCATCAGGTTCTGCTGACACTAGCACCCCAGGAAGGAGGGGGAGCCTGGTGTGAAATGCAGATTAGAAAATAACATTCTCCCAAATTCCTCTTAAATGAGAGCCCAGTGTGCGCATGAAACAAATATTTTGATAAGCCACTGGAGGTGTGCAGGAAGGGCAGGAAGACACCAGGGATATTTATTCTCAGGAACTAGTATTTTTGAACAGGTCCAAGGTTCAGGTAATGATAAGACCTTGCATTTTGTCAGGTTTCATGAGTCTGGGCAGGCAGCTGTGGATAGGAAGACAAGGAAGGGCTGGCTGAATTTTTCTGCTCTGTAGATCGGAGAAGAATCTGAAGTCTGCTGGCAGCTCCAGGAGGGTGACAAGATGGGCACAGGGTTTAGAAAGGGAGAGAAACCTCACTCCCAGCCTGGCAGCTCCAAGGAGGCCCTTAAAAATATGGAAATGTCTAACAAAACATTTTAATTTGTTTGCTTTAGAATGTGCAACGTAACCCTCTCATCTTATCTCCTTTGAAATCTTTAGTAAAATCTATAGAGATCAGGAATTTAAGAGTTTAAGTAGATTCTTTGGAGGAACTGAAAGTGGTACTTAAAGAAACAGCGTTTGTGGACAGAAGAGCCAGGGAGTGAGGCTGACATCAGGTTTGCACACTGCGCGTGCGTGCACACATGCAGGCATGTTTGTGTGATGGTGGTGCTGGTCACTGTGGGTTCAACAGAGTGGATGATAGCCTCTGACACATGCCTCCCTAGGCATAACCTTTATCCCCTCTGTCACTCTGTTTGGCCAGTCGCTTCTTGGAGAGGTGAGGACAGCACATTTCCCTCATTGAGATTTCCTGGTCCAAACTCCCTGCCCAGGGCTCCATCTACCCTGCCCCGGCATTGATGAAGACACCTTTCCTTCTCCCTTCCCCCCAACATATTTCCTTTTCTGTAGCTGGGAGTTTTCACTTCTCACTGCCCTCTCCCTGACCCAAGCCAGGTAGGGGAGATGCTGGAGTGGCCTCTGGCTGCTGCTGCTGCTTTTTTTTTTTTTTTGAGTTGGAGTCTTGCTCTGTCGCCCAGGCGGGAGTGCAATGGTGCAATCTCGGCTCACTGCAACCACTGCCTCCTGGGTTCAAGCAATTCTCCTACCTCAGCCTCCTGAGTAGCTGGGACTACAGGCGCCCACCACCACGCCCAGCTAATTTTTGTATTTTTAGTACAGATGGGGTTTCGCCATGTTGGCCAGGATGGTCTCTATCTCTTGACCTTGTGATCCACCCACCTCAGCCTCCCAAAGTGCTGGGATTACAGGCATGAGCCACTGCACCTGGCTGGACTCTGGCTTCTTGACTTCCCTTTATTGCAGCTACATTCTCCTGCTGCAGAGAGAGCTGCAACCCTGTACTCCCAATGTTCTCAGTGCCTGCTGGGAGGAACTCACTTCTTTATTCATACGTTCACTCAACAGATATTTACTGAATGCTTACTATATGCCAGACATGCCTCTAGGCCCAGAGAACCCAACAAATGAAAACTCTTGTCTTCATGGTTGATCTAATTGGGGAAGGCAGACAATACAAATAAATAAGTATATTAAAGGTGCTAGGTGGCCAGGCGCAGTGGCTCACGCCTGTAATCACAGCACTTTGGGAGGCTGGGGCAGGCGGATCACAAGGTCAGGAGTTGGAGACCAGCCTGACCAACATGGTGAAACCCCATCTCTACTAAAAATACAAAAATTAGCAGGGCCTGGTGGTGCGTGCCTGTAATCCCAGCTGCTCAGGAGGCTGACGCAGGCGAATCGCTTAAACCCGGGAGGCAGAGGTTGCAGTGAGCTGAGATCGCGCCATTGCACTCCAGCCTGGGCAACAGAGTGAGACTCCGTCTCAAAAAAAAAAAAAAAAAAAAAAAGGCGCCAGGTGCCTATGGAGGAAAACAAAGTAGGGAAGAGGGGACATAGGAGTATTATTGCCAATGGTCCCCAGTTTTTTGTTTTTTGTTTTTTGTTTTTTTTTTAAACGGAGTCTCACTCTGTCGCCCAGGCTAGAGTGCAATGGCTTGATCTCAGCTCACTGTAACCTCCGCCTCCTGGGTTCAAGCGATTCTCCTGCCTCAGCCTTCCGAGTAGCTGGGATTACAGCCACCTGCCATCATACCTAGCTAATTTTTGTATTTTTGTAGAGGCGGGGTTTCACCATGTTGACCAGGCTGGTCTTGAACTCCTGACCTTAGGTGATCTACCCACCTCGGATTCCCAAAGTGCTAGGATTACAGGCGTGAGCCACTGCACCCAGCTTTTTTTGTTGAGACAGAATCTCGCTCTGTTGCCCAGGCTGGAGTGCAGTGGCACAATCTCAGCTCACTGCAACCTCTGCCTCCCGGGTTCAAGCGATTCTCCTGCCTCAGCCTAACGAATAGCTGGGATTACAGGCGATCACCACTACACCCGGCTAATTTTTGTATTTTTAGTAGAGATGGGGTTTCACCAAGTTGGCCAGGCTGGTCTTGAACTCCTAACCTTGTGATCCTCCCACCTTGGCCTCCCAAAGTGCTGGGATTACAGGTGTGAGCCTGACTTGTCCCCAGTTTTAAATATGGTGGTCTGGCCAGACACGGTGGCTTACGCCTGTGGTCCTAGCCACTTGGGAGGCTGAAGTGAGAGGATCGCTTGAGCCCAGGAGATCAAGGCTGCAGTGAGCCATGACTGTGCCATTACACTCCAGTCTGGGCAACAGAGTGAGACCCTGTCTCAAAAAATACAATAAAATAATAAAATAAATAGAGTGGTTAGAGAAGCGTTCTCTGAAAAAGTGATATTTGAGCAAAGATTTCTTTTCTTTTTTTTGAGATGGAGTCTCACTCTGTCACTCAGGCTAGAGTGCAGTGGTGCAATCTCCACTCACTGCAACCTCCACCTCCCGGGTTCAAGTGATTCTCCTGCCTCAGCCTCCAGAGTAGCTGGGATTACAGGCACCTGCCACCACGCCCAGCTGGATAATTTTTTGTATTTTTAGTGAGACGGGGTTTTACTATGTTGGCCAGGCTGGTCTTGAACTCCTGATCTCATGATTCGCCCACCTCGCCCTCCCAAAGTGCTGGGATTACAGGTGTGAGCCACCACGCCTGGCCGTTTGATCAAAGATTTTAAGCAAGCAAAGGAACAAGCCTCTGTCTTCCTAGGCCTGCACACTTCCCCAAATCACCTTTTTTCACTGATATCTCTGTTTCCATTCTGGTCAAACTTTATGTATTTCTTTGGGTAAAGAGAGAGAACAGACAGGGTAAGCACTGGCTAGAGGGTCTTTGGCAGAGGATCGAGGAAGGCATTGCCAACCAAGTGCTAGGTTGAGGAGAGGATGTGGAAGGAGGAGATGGGGCAGGCAGAGTGGGCTTGGGGAGTTGAGGGACCATGTAAGGTGGATATACGGCTAGAAAGAAAAATACTTATTTTTTTTTTTTTGAGACAGAGTCTCCATCTGTCGCTAGACTGGAGTGCAGTGGCGCGATCTTGGCTCACTTCAACCTCCACATCCTGGGTTCAAGCGACTCTCCTGCCTCAGCCTCCCAAGTAGCTGGGACTACAGGTGCGCACCACCATGTTCAACTAATTTTTGTAATTTTAGTGGAGACGAGGTTTCACCATGTTGGCCAAGATGGTCTCGATCTCTTGACCTTGTGATCCACCCACCTTGGCCTCCCAAAGTACTGAGATTATAGATGTGAGCCACTGCGCCTAGCCAGAAAAATATTTATTGATCCTAAAGTGGAGTCAGCGCCACTGTTGCTGCTAGTGTTGAATCCAGAACCATAGCTGGACATGGGATCAGAGGATGAACAAGAGATGCTGACTGGGCCTAGAGATGGCAAGGAGGAGGAGGAAGAGGAAGAGGAGGAATTAGTCAATTCCTAACAAAAGCGAGAGAGCAGTGCGTGCAGCTGAAGAAAGGAGTAAAGTCTCGGAGCAGCTGGAGCTCTGTGATGAGCACGTGTCTTCCAGATCACAGACAGGAGAGGATTGCACAAAGCTCTTTGACTTCTCTAATGCAAGGGACCATTGCATGGCCCACAAATCCTTTAACAGTTTGAAATGAATGTGCAGACTCCTTCACCCCAGCTTTCATCACCTGGGCATTTCTCTATGGTTTTAAATATAACATTTGTTTCTAATTTGTGTAACTGTAAGTCCATGTGAACCTCATGGATTTTTGGCTTAGGCAAATAGCTTCTCTGTAATTGGCAGCAATTCCATCTTAATAAGGGAACTGTGATTTGCAAAACGAAAAAATATACTGTTTTTTTCTTTTTCCTTTTTTTTATTCAAGGGCTAGTGAATCTTGGGATCTCAGGGTTACATCGAGGTATATTTATCATCATCATTATAGTCCAGGACTAAAAGGAAGTTATTCCAGGCTCTTTGCAAAGAATCTCAGTTTTTTTTGTTTGTTTGTTTTATTTTGTTTTGAGATGGAGTCTTGCTCTGTTGGCCAGGCTGGAGTGCAGTGGTGCAGTCTCTGCTCACTGCAACCTCCACCTCCCAGGTTCAAGTGATTCTCCTGCCTCAGCCTCCCGAGTAGCTGGGACTACAGGCACCCGCCACCATGCCTGGCTAATTTTTTGTATTTTTAGTAGAGACAGGGTTTCACCATGTTAGCCAGGATGGTCTCAATCTCCTGACCTCATGATCGGCCCGCCTCGGCCTCCCAAAGTGCTGGGATTACAGGCGTGAGCCACTGCGCCTGGCCAAGAACACCACTTCTTACACCAATCATGTGGAGACTTCTCCCACACCAATCAATTCTTCAGTTCTTGGTAGATATTAACTGGGAGTCCTGCAGTTTAATTCAGTTCTGACACTCTACCCATAATTACCAGTTATCTAATCCCCAAGTTGAAGGGCTCAGTTCTACAAGGCTGCCCCCACTCCAGATACCAATCACAAACAAGTCCAGGCCTCCTAACTGTTTTTATGACTCCCTCTTCTGGCTCAGTAATTCGCTGGAATAGCACGCAGAACTCAGGTAAACACTTTACTTATGTTAGCTAGTTTATTATGAAGGATAAAACTTAGGAACAGTCAGATGGAAGAGTTGCTCCGGACAAAGTATCGGGGAAGGGGGATTTGGAGCTTTCTTGTCCTCTCTGGGCACCTCCCTGCACCTCCATGTGTTCATCAACCTGGCAGCTCTCCAACCCTCATCTTTTTTGTTTTTTTTTATGGAGGCTTCATTATGCAGGCATACTTGATTCAATAGCCATTAGTTGGAGGTCAGAGGGTTGGAGCTAAAAGTTCTAACTCTCTAATCACACAGTTGCCTACCTTGGCAACAAACCCCAACCTTAGGGGCTTTCTAAAAGTCAACTTACTAACATAAACTCAGTTGTGGTTGAAAAGAGCTTGTTATGAATAACAAAAGCTCCCTTCACTTTATCATTTAGGAAATTACAAGGGCTTTAGGAGGTCTGGCCAGGAGCCAGGATGGAGACCAAAACACACACACACACACACACACACACACACACACGCACGCACGCACGCACACACACATTAATATTTTGAGACAGGGAGACAGGGTCTCGTTCTGTTATCCAGGCTGGAGTGCAGTGGCACAAACATGGCTACTGCAGCTTTGACCTCCCAGGCTCAAGCGATCCTCCCTTGTCAGCCTCCTGAGTAACTGGGACTACAGGCATGTGCCACCACACCTGGCTAATTTTTAAAATTTTTTTTAGAGACAGGGTCTCCTTGTGTTGCCCAGGCTGGTCTTGACTGCCTGGGCTCAAGTAATCCTCCCACCTTGGCCTCCCAAAGTGCTGGGATTACAGGCCTGAGCCACCGTGCCTGACCTTTTTTTTTTTTTTTTTTTTTTTTTTGAGACAGTTTCTTGTTCTGTCATCCAGGTTGGAGTGCAGTGGCACCATCATAGCTCACTGCAGCCTCAACTTCTTGGGCTCAAGCAATCCTTCCATCTCAGCCTCCCAAGCAGCTGGGACCCGCACCACCATGCCTGGCTCATTTTAAAATTTTTTGTAGAGATGAAGTCTCGCCAGGTTGCCCAGGCTGGTCTTGAACTCCTGGGCTCAAGTGATCCTCTGGTCTCAGCCTTCTAGAGTGCTGGGATTACATGTGTTAACCACCACACCCAACCCATATATATACATATTTATTTATTTTTTCCCCGAGATGGAGTCTTGCTCTGTTGCCCAGGTTAGAGTGCAGTGGCGCGATCTCCGCTCACTGCAAGCTCCACCTCCCAGGTTCACGCCATTCTCCTGCCTCAGCCTCCTGAGTAGCTGGGACTACAGGCGCCTGCCACCACGCCCGGCTAATTTTTTGTGTTTTTAGTAGAGACGGGGTTTCACCATGTTAGCCAGGATGGTCTCGATCTCCTGACCTTGTGATCTGACCGCCTTGGCCTCCCAAAGTGTTGGGATTACAGGTATGAGCCACCGCGCCTGGCCTTTTTTTTTGTGGGGGGATGGAGTCTCGCTCTGTCGCCCAGGCTGGAGTGCAGTGGCGATCTCGGCTCACTGCAAGCTCCGCCTCCTGGTTTCACGCCATTCTCCTGCCTCAGCCTCCCGAGTAGCTGGGACTACAGGTGCCTGCCCCCACACCCGGCTAATTTTTTTTTGTATTTTTAGTAGAGACGAGGTTTCACCATGTTAGCCAGGATGGTCTTGATCTCCTGACCTCGTGATCTGCCCCCCTCGGCCTCCCAAAGTGCTGGGATTACAGGTGTGAGCCACCACACCCGGGCCCAAAAATATATATTTTTATTATAACAATATCACAATGGGAGAAGAACATTTCAGGTGGAGGGAACAGCAAGTTCAAAGGCCCTGATGTGAGAGCAGTGTGGATATCTGGAGTGTTCATGGAGTAGCAGGGAGGCCTGTGCTGCTGAAGCCAGGTGAGGAGGAGGTCAGCTTGGGTAGGGCCTTGTAAAGACTCTGGCTTTTATTCTGAGTGAGACTGCCTCCCAGACTGGTCTTTCCATTGAGAATGGCTTGACAGACTACTGGGGTGAGACAGTGCTTAGATGCTCAGAAAAACTGCCTGGGATAGAGAGAATGACAGCTGCTCTGACTGTGGGACAAAAATGAAGACTAGGCCTGGCGCGGTGGCTCACTCCTGTAATCCCAGCACTTTGGGAGGCCGAGGCAGGCAGATCACCTGAGGTCAGGAGTTTGAGATCAGCCCGACAAACATGGAGAAACCCCGTTTCTACTAAATGTACAAAATTAGCCAGGCATGGTGGCGCATGCCTGTAATCCCAGCTACTTGGGTGGCTGAGGCAGGAGAATCGCTTGAACCTGGGAGGTGGAGATTGCAGTGAGCCCAGATCACGCCATTGCACTCCAGCCTGGGCAATAAGCGAAACTCCATCCCCCCCACCAAAAAAAGTGAATACTGAAGGGTATATAGGAAGACAAGCGGGTGGAGAAGGAAACTCAGGGCCTTCTGAGAAGGAAACAGAGATGAGGGGAAAAGAATAGACATGCAAGAAGATGCTGGGGCTCAGAAAGTGATACCCCAAAGACTGGTGCTTTGAAATGCTGAGAGGCCTTAGAAGCTGCCTTAGAATTGTCCTACCACACTTTCTGGAATTTCCTTATCTGACTGAAAAAACTTCTTTGCAAAAGAAGTGCAATTGTCTTAAGACCTCCTGCCTAGAGATCTTATCAAATAACCAGATCAACCACCAGAGAGAAGATATTAGGAGTCATCATCATACCCAGATAGACTTTTCTTCTCTTTCTTTTCTTCCTTTTGAGTCAGCGTCTTGTTCTGTTGCCCAGCCTGGAGTGCAGTGGCATGGTCATGGCTCACTGCAGCCTCAACCTCCAGGCTCAAGTGATCCTCCCACCCTAGCCTCCTGAGTAGCTGGGACGACAGGCATGTGCCACCACGCCTTAGGTTTTTTTTTTTTTTTTTTTGAGATGGAGTCTCTCTCTGTCACCCAGGCTGGAGTGCAGTGACATGATCTCAGCTCACTGCAACCTCCTCCTCCTGGGTTCAAGCAATTCTCCTGCCTCAGCCTCCGGAGTAGCTGGGGTTACAGGCGCCCGCCACCACGCCCAGCTAAGTTTTGTATTTTTTAGGAGAGAAGGAGTTTCATCATGTTGGCTCTGGCTGATCTCGAACTCCTGACCTCAGGTGATCCACCTGCCTTGCCCTCCTAAAGTGCTGGGATTACAGACATGAGCCACTGCACCCAGCCATGGTGACTAATTATCTTTTTTTTTTTTTTTTTGAGACAGAGTCTCACACTGTCGCCCGGGCTGGTGTGCAGTAGCGCGATCTCGGCTCACTGCAACCTCCACCTTCCGGATTCAAGTGATACCCCTGCCTCAGCCTCCCAAGTAGCTAGGATTGCAGGCACCCGCCACCACGTCCAGCAATTTTTTTTTTTTTTTGAGACGGAGTCTCGCTCTGTCACCCAGGCTGGTGTGCAGTGACAGGATCTCAGCTTACTGCAAGCTCCACTTCCTGGGTTCATGCCATTATTTTTTTGTATTTTTAGTAGAGATGGGGTTTCACTATGTTGCCCAGGCTGGTCTCAAACTCTTGACCTCGTGATCTGCCCACCTTGGCCTCCCAAAGTGCTGGGATTACAGGCGTGAGCCACAGTGCTGGTCTTTTTTTTTTTTTTTTTTTTTTTTTTTTTTTTTAGATAGAGTCTTGCTTTGTCACCCAGGCTGGAGTGCAGTGGCATGATCTTGGCTCACTGCAACCTCTGCCTCATGGGTTCAAGAGATTCTCCCGCCTCAGCCTCCTGAGTAGCTGGGACTACAGATGCGCGCCACCAAGCCCAGCTAATTTTTTTGTATGTTTAGTAGAGACAGGGTTTTGCCATGTTGGCCAGGATGGTCTGGATTTCTTGACCTCGTGATCCGCCCTCCTCAGCCTCCCAAAGTGTCAGGATTACAGGTGTAAGTCACCGTGCCTGGCTTCTTTTTTTTTTTTTTTTTAAATATAGAGACAATGGATCATAATATAGAGACATTCTCATCCTAATGTTAGCACAACGGGGATGCAGATGGTCAGGATCTGGAGACTTGCAGGAATAGAGCAGTGAGCCAAAGTGCAGCCTGGTTTATGCTTAATTATAACTATATTTCTGCCCAGATCCCAGCATGCAATTCTTGTCAATCTTGGGACAGTTTCAATTTACTCTATTGAAAGTTTTTATTAATATTTTGATAACTGGAATTTGATTTCGATGCAATTTTTTTTTTTTGAGACGGAGTCTTGCTCTGTCACCCAGACTGGAGTGCAATGGCGTGATCTCGGCTCACTGCAACCTCCGCCTCCCGGTTCCAGCAATTCTCCTGCCTCAGCCTCCCAGGTAGTTAAGATTACAGGCGCCGACCACCATGCCTAGCTAATTTTTTGTTTTTAGTAGAGACAGGGTTTTGTCATGTTGGCCAGGCTGCTCTCGAACTCCTGACCTCGGGTGATCCACCTGCCTCGGCCTCCCAAAGTGTTGGGATTACAGGCGTGAGCCACTGCGCCTGGCCGATTTGTTTTTGTATGTATATTTTTTAAATTTTATGCTTTACTAGAATGCCAAAGGGATCTGTGGCACAAAATAACTAAGAACCACTGCTGTAACCTCTCTCTCCCCTCACCCCTTTGAGCCTGGGAGTGGAAATATCCCCTGCAGTTCTCTTACATAACACTCCCACCTTTGTGTGTGCGTGTGTTTTGTTTGTTTTGTTTTGTTTTTGGGATGGAGTCTCGCTCTGTCACCCAGGCTGGAGTGCAGTGAAGTGATGTCAGCTCAGTGCAACCTCCACCTCCCAGGTTCAAGCGATTCTCCTGCCTCAGCCTCCCTAGTAGCTGGGACTACAGATGCATGCCACCACGCCTGGCTAATTTTTTGTATTTTCAGTAGAGATGGGGCTTCACCGTGTTAGCCAGGATAGCCTTGACCTCCTGACCTCGTGATCCACCCTCCTCAGCCTCCCAAAGTGCTGCGATTACAGGCATGAGCCACCGCACCCGTTGTCTTTAATAATTTTTTTGCCTGCTTAATATATAGTTTCTGGGAGATGTGAGTCTTCCTCTAATATTGTAGGTTACTTTTCTGTCGCTGCTGCACAAATTTTTTTTTTTTTTTGAGATGGAGTCTCACTCTGTCGCCCAGACTGGAGTGCAGTGGCGTGATTTTGGCCCACTGCAACCTCTGCCTCCTGGGTTCAAGCGATTCTTCTCTTGAGTAGCTGGGATTACAGGTGCATGCTACCACGCCTGGCTACTTTTTGTATTTTTAGTAGAGACGGAGTTTCACCATATTGGTCAGGCTGGTCTCGAACTCCTGACCTCGTGATCCACCCTCCTTGGCCTCCCAAAGTGTTGGGATTACAAGCGGTAGCCACTGTGCCTGGCCTAAACTTTTTTTTTTAAGCATCCTTGTGCAGAGACTCCAAGGGCAAACAAGAGTAGTGCCAACCAGCCTGGCAGAGCTGAGGCAGGCCTGAACTCTGGCCCCTAGAGGGAAGAGGTGACTAGTCACTAGCCTTCCTTCATTCTCTCACCCAGAGAGAAATGGGGAAGGAAGAGAAATGGAGTAAAAGAATAAGGTATGTAGATGGGGAGAGATGGGAAGGGAAAACATGGAGAATGATGGGGAGGCAGAAAGCGATGCGAAGAGAGATGGAGGAAGACAGAGAGAGAGAAAGACGGAGAGGCAGACCAGACACGGCAGCTCACACCTGTAATCCCAGCACTTTGGGAGGCTGAGGCAGGTGGATCACTTGAGGCCAGGAGTTCAAGACCAGCCTGGCCAACATGGCAAAACCCCATCTCTACTAAAAATACAAAAATTAGCCAGGGGTGGTGGCATGTGCCTGTAATCCCAGCTACTCTGGAGGCTGGGGCAGGAGAATCATTTGAACCTGGGAGGTGGAGGTTACAGTGAGCTGAGAGCGCAAAAAAAAAAAAAGAAAAAAAATAGAATGTCTCACGTGGAAGGTGCTCGCTGAATATTTGTTGAATGAGTGAATAAGCAGAAGTGTGTATGCATGTGACAGAGAGGCAGAGGGGTAGGGGTGTGTAGAGATGTGGCGTTTGAGTGGACACGGGGGAAGAAACAAGTAATATGAATAACATGGTGAGACAGAAAGAGTTGTGGACAGAGCTGTGGGAAATATGAGAGATAAGGAGAGAGATACTGAAAAGAGCGATTAAGAGAGATGAAGATAGGGTGTCTGGCCCATGGAAGGCCCTCGTGAAGAGCAATGCTGAATAGATGAATGAACCTCAATGCCCAGCAGTGGTGGGATGAAGGGGATGCTGTGCAGAAACCACACTACCCATCAGAGAAGCAACTCTGCTCGTTTCCCCTTGAGTTGATGAGGGATTTAGCAACCAGTGGAATGAAGAGCAAGGGAAAGACACCTGCGATCTTTCAGAAGCAAAATGGACAGGGCCTGGAGATCTTTTGGATGGGGGAACTGAGGGAGAAGGCAGAGTAGGATGAATCCCAGGTGTTTGCCTTAAGTGACTGGGGCTTTGTGTTTCCATTCACTGGGACAGGGATGACAGGAGGCTGACCTGGTCTGAGTGGACACTGATGACTTTGAAATGCCTGTGGAGTATTCAGGGTAAGCCGCCTAGAGAGCAGTTAGATAGTGTGGACTTAGGTCTCAAGAAAGAGGCCTGAGGGGGAGATGTAGATTGGGGACTTGACAGAGAATAAGCAGTAGTGACAACTGTGGCTATGACAGGATTGCCTAGGAAAGCCATGGTAGATGCGCAAAATTTATTGAATGAAAGTGGGAAGCCAGGTGCATGCCTATAATCCCAGCTACGTGAAAGGCTGAGGTCGGAGGAACACCTAAAGCCCGGAGTCAGGACTTTGAGACTAGCCTGGGCAACATAGTGAGATCTCATCTCAAAAATATATATAATAAAAAATATATAATAACACTTTTTAAAAAGAAAGTGGGGCCAGGGGTGCTAGCTCATGCCTATAATCCCAGCACTTTGGGAGGCCGAGGCAGGCGGATCACTTGAGGTCAGGAGTTCGAGACCAGCCTGACCGACATGGTGAAACCCCATCTCTACCAAAAATACAAAATTAGCTGGGTGTGGTGGCACATGCCTGTAATCCCAGCTACTTGGGAGGCTAAGGCAGAAGAATCACTTGAACGCAGGAGGCGGAGGTTGCAGTGAGCCGAGATCGCACCATTGCACTCCAGCCTGGGCAACAAGAGCAAAATTCTGTCTCAAAAAAAAAAAAAAAAAAAGTGGGAGAAACAACCCAAAAATTTTCCAACAGGACAGTGGTATAAAAGCACACGTTTAGGGTACAGGAGTCTGGGGGACTCAGGTTGGATGGCTTTTATGTCCTTGGGAAAGAGGAGGTGAGATTTCAAAGTGAAACAGCTTCCATGGTGACAGGATCTGAGATGTAGGTCATGGAGAGTCAAGGTGATGATTGGAGTGGACAAGGTGAAATAACTGTGAAGTTGCACACTTAGGGTATTGAAAAGGCATTTGCGAGATGGGTACAAGAAGTTTCATAGCAGATTGAGCCATAATAAGAAAAACAAAAAATAGAAACAACCCAATTGTACTTCATCAGGTGAATAGATCAACAAGCTGTGCTACATCATATAAAGGATTACCACTCAGCAAAAAAAAGGAATGAAACACTGATACATACAACAGCGTGGGCGAATCTCACAGACATTAAGCAGAATGAAAGGAGCCAGATACAAGAGTATGTACTATATGACTCCATTAATATGATGTTCAAGAACAGACTAATCTATAGAGGCCGAGCGCAGTGGCTCAGGCCTGTAATCCCAACACTTAGAGAGGTCAAGGCAGGAGGATCACTTGAGCCCAGGAGTTAGAATCCAGTCTGGGCAACATAGAAGGACCTCGTCTCTACAAAAAAAAATTTTTTTTTTTTTTTTGAGACAGAGTCTTGCTCTGTCACCCGGGCTGGAGTGCAATGACGCGATCTCGGCTCACTGCAACCTCTGCCTCCCAGGTTCAAGCAATTCTCCTGCCTCAGCCTCCCGAGTAGCTGGGACTATAGGCATGTGCCACCACGCCCGGCTAATTTTTTTTTTTTTTTTTGTATTTTTAGTAGAGACGGGGTTTCACTGTGTTAGCCAGCATGGTCTTGAGCTCCTGACCTTGTGATCCCCCTGCCTCGGCCTCCCAAAGTGCTAGGATTATAGGCCTAAACCACTGCACCCAGCCTACAAAAAAACTGTTAAAAAATTAGCTGGGTGCGGTGGCATATGCCTGTAGTCGTAGCTACTCAGGAGACTGAGGTGGGAGGATGGCTTGAGCCCAGGAGGTCAAGGCAGCAGTGAACTATAATTGCACTACTGCATTCCAACCTGGGTAACAGAGCAAGACTCTGTCCCAAGAAAAAAGTCTACAGAGGTTAAAAATGGTAAAATGGTTGCATCTAGGAGGGGAAAGGGATTTACTAAAAAGGGGCATGGAGGAATTTTCCAGGATAATGAGAATTATCTATATCTCTATTACAGTGTGGTTGCATGGGTGTACATATTGGCCAAAGGTCATCAAACTGTACATTAAGATCTGTGCATTTTACTGTATGAAATTATATATCAATGTTTAAAAATGTCATTTATGGCTGGGCACGGTGGCTCACGCCTGTAATCCCAGCACTTTGGGAGGCCGAGGCAGGTGGATCACGAGGTCAGGAGATTGAGACCATCCTGGCTAACATGGTGAAACCCTGTCTCTACTAAAAAATACAAAAAAATTAGCCAGGTATGGTGGCTGGTGCCTGTAGTCCCAGCTACTAGGGAGGCTGAGGCAGGAGAATGGCGTGAACCCAGGAGGTGGAGCTTGCAGGGAGCCGAGATCACGCCACTGCACTCCAGCCTGGGTGACAGAGCAAGACTCTCTCTCAAAAAAAAAAAAAAAAAAAAGTCATTCATATGGACATTAAGTCCATTAAGGAGTTGGCAGAGGTTGAAATAGAGAGGAAGTGGGCTGGGCATGGTGGCTCACGCCTATAATCCCAGCACTTTGGGAGGCCGAGGTGGGCGGATCACAAGGTCTGGAGTTCGAGACCAGCCTGGCTAACATGGTGAAACCTTTTCTCTACTAAAAATACAAAAATTAGCCTGGCATGGTGGCAGGTGCCTGTAATCCCAGCTACTCTGGAGGCTGGGGCAGGAGAATCGCTTGAACCTGGGAGGCAGAGGTTGCGGTGAACCAAGATCACGCCATTGCACTCCAGCAACAACAGCAAAACTCTGTCTCAAAAAAAAAAAAGAAAAAAGAAAAAAGAAAGAAAAAATAAATAGAGAAGAGGCTGCAGAGTCAGGGATGGGCTCTTGATGAATGTGAGGGCGAGTGGACGACACCAAGGAGAGATTGAAGGTCGTGAGGTCAGATGCTATGAGCCTCAGAGGAGAAGCTGTTCTCAGAAGCTGAAAGTATCATCACCTGGGAGCCATTCATTAGTTGAAAAATATTGATAAGACTTGGCCAGAGAAGTCACCCAATCTCACCCCTGCCAGCACGTAGAGGAACCCTGGTGGGGGTGGGGGAAAGATGAGATCACCTGTGCTGGATTGTGGACTTTTGTGTTTTCACCTGTTTTCATGGTCTGAGTTGGGAGTTTATTGGCCTCAACTACATCCAGCCAGCCCACAGCTTGTTGTTAAAGAAGTCAGACCAGAGACTGGGTGCGGCGGCTCACGCCTGTAATCCTAGCACTTTGGGAGGCTGAAGCAGGTGGATCACTTGAGGTCAGGAGTTCAAAACCAGCCTGGCCAACATGGTGAAACCCTGTCTCTAGTAAAAATACAAAAAAGTTAGCCAGGCATGGTGACAGGCGCTGTAGTCCCAGCTACTTGGGAGGCTGAGGCAGGAGAATCGCTTGAACCCGGGAGGCAGAGGTTGCAGTGAGCGGAAATCACACCACTGCACTCCAGCCTGGGCGACAGAGCGAGACTCCCTCTCAAAAAAAAAAAAAACAAAAAAAACACACACAAAAACAGAGACCAGTGCACATCCACTTCAACACTGTTTTATTTGTTGCCTTTCCTCTTGAGTGCCTGGGAATAATTTCTTTAGAAAAGTTCCATCCTTGGCCAGGATGGATGCAGTGGCTCACGCCTGTAATCCCAGCACTTTGGGAGGCCGACGTGGGTGGATCACGAGGTCAGGAGTTCAAGACCAGCCTGGCCAAGATAGTGAAACCCCGTCTCTACTAAAAATATGAAAATTAGCTGGGCATGGTAGTGGGTGCCTGTAATCCTGGCTACTCAGGAGGCTGAGGCAGGAGAATCTCTTGAACCCGGGAGGCGGAGGTTGCAGTGAGCCGAGATCGCACCACTGCACTCTAGCCTGGGTAACAGAACAAGACTCTGTCTCAAGAAAAAAAAAAGAAAAAAAAAGTTCCATTCTTGTGCCCACTGTGCTGATTAGCGCAGCAGTTCCTGTCTTGCAGGTTAGCCTTCCCTAGAGGTTCTCAGAGTTATTAAAAGGGGTCCCTTGAATGTACACACATATCAGGATTTATTCTAGATGGACTGAAAAAAAAAACCCACATACTGTCTTTGGAATCTGGAACATTTTTAGCTATGACAAATGTTTAGAAGTCTTAGATATAGAAAAGAGCTGGGAGAGCAGGATGCCCTTGAGTCCAGGTGTAGCAATGGCACTGCCACCCTTGCACAGGACGGGGGAAGCACTGGAGAAGAACCACACATTGAACACCTAGGGCAATGGGGTCTGGAAGTTTACAGGTGGTACCCCCAGTTTACAGTAGTGGCACCAGGACTCCAACCTAGGCTGATTTGTCTTCTAAGCCACATTGCCTTGGGACGTGGAGTAGAACCATGTGATTGAGTGTACACTGTGGAAGAGTGGAGTTTGTTTTTTTTTTTTTTGAGACGGAGTTTTGCTCGTTGCCCAGGCTGGAGTGCAGTGGCACAATGTTGGCTCACTGCAACCTCCGCCTCCTGGATTCAAGTGATTCTCGTGCCTCAGCCACCCAAGTAGCTGGGATTACAGGCACGCACCACCACGTCTGGCTAAGTTTTGTATTTTTAGTAGAGATGGGGATTCACCATGTTGGCCAGACTGGTCTCGAACTCCCGACCTCAGGTGATCTGCCCACCTCGGCCACCCAAAGTGCTGGGATTACAGGCGTGGGCCACTGCTCCCGGCCGGAAGAGTGGAGTTTTATCCCCAGCCAGTTACTTATTCCACGTCCCCACTGGTGGTGACCTCTTCTCCCTCCCCAAACCGTGGGCTTCTTACAGCTGAGATAGTAGAGACAATTTTTCCTATATTGATCCTTTGGGGTGTGAATGGGGTGTTGATAGAAGGAGGCAAGCAAGGTAGGGGATCGGGCAGAAGCTGGAATCAAGGCCCAGTTGAGAAAAGCCACCATTGGTAGCTCGGGCCTCCCATGCTCTCTGACCACCAGGGGGCAGGCCTTGCCTTGCCATGACGCCTCCATCCCACATCCTCTAGTTAGATATCCCTGGGGTGGCAGCCACTTCGCTGCTGGAGAATGGCTGAGTTGGTCCTTCCCAGGTTGTGTGGCATGTGTGGTTGTTCCGGTAGCTTAGGGAGGTAAAATAATTTGTTCAAGATTAGACTGGGCACAGTGGCTCACACCTGTAATCCCAGCACTTTGGGAGGCCGAAGTGGGAGGATTGCTTTAGGCCAGGAGTTTTAGATCAGCCTGGGCAACACGGTGAGACTCTGTCTGTACAAAAAATAAAAATAAGTGAGCCAAACGTGATGATGTGTGTCTGTAGTCCCAAATACTCTGGAGGCTGACGTGGGAGGGTCACTTGAGCTCAGGAGTTCAAAGTTCAAGGCCACGGGGAGCTATGATCATATATATGATCACACCGCTGCACTCCAGAATGGTTGACAGAGTGAGACCCTGTCTCAAAAAAAAAAAAGGTTGTATAACATAATTGTGGGGATTGCGGGGGAGCTGACATTTGAACCTAGACTCATTCCAAACCAGCATTCTTAACCATGAGATGACTGCTTCTCCAAAAGAAAGCTCTGAATTACTTCAGTGATGGGTGGGAACTGGACAGTCTACAAAAGTACTGTGACACAGAGCTAGAAACACAGATACAAAGGAAAAAACATATATTAGGTCAGGTGTGGTGGCTCACACCTGTAATCCCAGCACTTTGGGAGGCCAAGGCGGGTGGATCACTTAAGGCCAGGTGTTTAAGACCAGCCTGGCCAACATGGCAAAACTCCGTCAGTACTAAAAACACAAAAATTAGCCGAGTGTGGTGGCACACGCCTGTGAACCCAGATACTCGGGAGGCTGAGGCACGTGAATCGCTTGAGCCTGGGAAGCAGAGGTTGCAATGAGCCAAGATTGTGCCACTGCACTCCAGCCTGGGCGACTGAACGAGACTGTCTCACAACAACAACAGCAACAACAACAACATGTATTCATATAAAATGAGCCAGGCTGGGCGCGGTGGCTCACGCCTGTAATCCCAGCACTTTGGGAGGCCAAGGCGGGCGGATCACAAGGTCAGGAGTTTGAGACCAGCCTGGCCAACATGGTGAAACTCAGTCTCTACTAAAAATACAAAAATTAGCTGGGTGTGGTGGCGCACGTCTGTACTCCCAGCTACTCGGGAGGCGGAGGCAGGAGAATCGCTTGAACCCGGGAGGCAGAGGTTGCAGTGAGCTGAGATTGAGCCATTGCACTCCAGCCTGGGCAACAAGAACAAGACTCCATCTCAAAATAAATAAATAAATAAAATAAATAAAAGGAGCCAGACCAGGAGTTTGAGACCTGGACAACATAGCAAGATGCTGTCTTTCAAAAATAAATAAAAGTAAAAAGTCAGGTGTGATGGCACATACCAGTATTCCAAGCTACTTGGGAGGCTGAGGCAGGAGGATTGCTTGAGTCCAGGAGATCGAGGCTGCAGTGAGCAATGATCACACCACTGTATTCCTGCTTGAGTGATAGAGTGAGACCCTTGTCTCTAAAAAATGTAATAGTAAAAGGAGCCAGAAGGGGGCATGCGGTAAGGGGTGGACACATGGCATATTACATGTCATCCTTCACTTCTATGTGCTGTATTATCTCCTGTAGCTGTGTGATACACATACAAGAGTGTCTGGCATACTCTTGTACCAATCCCTGTAAAGGTATTACCTTGTTTTATTGTGTTCCACAGATGTGCATTTTTTTATATATTGAAGTTTGTGGCAACCCTGTGTTGAGCAAGTCTGTAGGTGCCACTTTTCCAATAGCCTGTGCTCACTTTGTGTCTCAGTGGCACATTTTGGTAATTCTTGCAATATTTCAAACTTTTTCTTGATTATTTTATCTGTTATGATCTGTCAGTAGTGATTTTTTTTTTTTGAGACAGGGTCTCACCCTGTCATTCAGGCTGGAGTGCAGTGGCAAGATCATAGCTCACTGCAGCCTCGAAATCCTGGGCTCAAGTGATTCTCCTGCTTCAGCCTCCCAAGTAGCTAAGACTACTGGAACACACCAGCACACCTGGCTAATTTTATCTATTTATTTATTTAGGCAGAGTTTTGTTCTTGTTGCCCAAGCTGGAGTACAATGGCACGATCCCAGTTCACCACTACCTCCGTCTCCCAGTGATTCTCCTGCCTCCGCCTCCCGAGTAGCTGGGATTACCGGCATGCGCCACCACGCCCGACTAATTTTGTATTTTTAGTAGAGACGGGGTTTCTCCATGTTGGTCAGGTTGGTCTTGAACTAACGACCTCAAGTGATCTGCCCTCCTTGGCCTCCCAAAGTGCTGGGATGACAGGAGTCAGCCACTGCGCCTGGACTTTTTTTTTCTTTTTTGTAGAGCTGAGGTTGGCCAAGCGCAGTGGCTCATGCTTGTAATCCCAGTACTTTGAGAGGTCGAGTGGGCAAATCACTTGAGCCCAGGAGTTTGAGACCAGCCTGGACAACATGGTAAGACCCTGTCTCTACAAAAAATACAAAAATTATCTAGGCATGGTGGTGTGTGGCAGCTACTCAGGAGGCTGAGGTGGGAAGATGGTGTGAGCCCATGAGGTTGAAGCTGCAGTGAGCCGTGATTGTGCCACTGCACTCTAGCCTAGGCAACAGAGTGAGACCTTGTCTCAAAAAGAGAGAGAGAGAGAGAAGGTCTTGCTCTGTTGCCCAGGCTGGAGTGCCATGGAGCCATGGCTTTCACAAGCAAAATCGTAGCATACTGCAGTCTTGAACTTCTGTCCTCAAGTGATCCTTCCACCTCAGCCTTCTGAGTAGCAGAGACATAGGCACATACCACTGCACTTGGCAAGAATTAGCTAAATTTACTCTGCCACGCTGTGTAAATGGAACAATAAAGCCTAGATGGCTGGATGTGGTGGCTCATGCCTATAATCCCAGCACTTTGGGAAGCTGAGGTGGGCGGATCACCTGAGGTCAGGAGTTCAAGACCAGCCTGGCCAAGATGGTCAAACCCTGTCTCTACTAAAAATACAAAAATTAGCCGGGTGTGGTGGCAGTCACCTGTAATCCCAGATACTAGGGAGGCTGAGGCAGGAGAATCACTTGAACCCAGAGGGCGGAGGTTGCAGTGAGCTAAAATTGCACCACTGCACTCCAGCCTGGGTGACAGAGCAAGACTCCATCTCAAAAAAATATATAAATAAATAAATAAATAAATAAAAGCCTAGATGATAGTACATCTGTTTACAACGTGGTTTACTGATTTTAAAATTTTTCTTTTTTTTGTTTGTTTGTTTGTTTTTGAGACACGGTCTCAATATGTTGCCCAGGCTGTAGTACAGCAGCATGATCTCAACTCATTGAAACCTCTGCCTTCCAGAGTCAAATGATCCTCCTACCTCAGCCTCCTGAGTAGTTGGGACCACAGACATGAGCCACTATGCTCAGCTAATTTTTGTATTTTTTGTAGAGATAGGGTTTCGTCAGGTTGTCCAGGCTGATCTCCAACTCTTTTTTTTTTTTTTTTTTTTTTGAGACAAAGTCTTGCTCTGTCACCCAGGCTGGAGTGCAGTGGCGCAATCTCGGCTAACTGCAACCTCTGCCTCCAAGGTTCAAGTGATTCTCCTGCCTCAGCCTCCTGAGTAGCTGGGACTACAGGCAGATGCCACCACACCCAGCTAATTTTTTGTATTTTTAGTAGAGATGGGGTTTCACCGTGTTAGCCAGGATGGTCTCGATCTCCTGAACTCGTGATCCGCCCGCCTCAGCCTCCCAAAGTGCTGGGATTACAGGCATGAGCCACCATGCCTGGCCTGGCCTCCAACTCTTTAACTCAAGTGATCTGCCCTCCTGGGCTTCCCAAAGTACTGGGATTACAGGTGTGACCCACCATACCTAGCCAAAATTATTTTTTTTTAAACTCCATTTACTACTATTCCCAATTTAAATTGTATTTTATTTAGAGACAAGGTCTCCCTCCATTGCTCAGGCTGAAATGCAGTGGCAAAATCATAGCTCACTGCATCCTTGAAACTCCTGGGCTCAAGGAATCCTCCTTCCTCAACTTCCTGAGTAGCTGGTACTATAGGTGTGTGCCACTATGTCCAGCTAAGTTTAAATTTTTTTGTAGAGACAGGGTCTTGCCATGTTGCCCAGGCTGGTCTCAAACCCCTGGCCTCAAGCCGTCCTCTCACCTTGGCCTCCCAAAGTGCTGGGATTACAAGTGTAAGCCACTATGCCCCGCTGGTTTACTGAATATTTTAAGCCTACTGTTGAGGTCTACTGCTCCGAAAAACAAGATTTCTTTAAAATGATTACTGCTCATTGACAATGTACATAGTTATCCAAGAGCTCTGATGGAGATGTCCAAAGAGACGAATGTTGTTTTCTTTTTCTTTTTTTTTTTTTTTGAGACGGAATTTCGCTCTTGTTGCCCAGGCTGGAGTGCAATGGTGCGATATCAGCTCACTGCAACTTCCGCCTCCTGGGTTCAAGTGATTCTCCTGCCTCAGCCTCCCGAGTAGCTGGGATTACAGGTGCGCCCCACCACACCCGGCTAATTTTGTATTTTTAGTAGAGACGGGGTTTCTCTATGTTGATCAGACTGGTCTCGGACTCCTGACCTCAGGTGATCCTCCCACCTCAGCCTCCCAAAGTGCTGGGATTACAGGCATGAGCCACCACGCCCAGCTGAATGTTGTTTTCCTGCCTGCTAACATAACATCCATCCTGTAGTCCATGGTTTAAGGAGTAATTTAGACTTTCAAGTCTCATTATTTAAGAAATACATTTCGCCAGGCATGGTGACTCATGCACTTTGGGAGGCCTAAGTGGATGGATTGTTTGAGCCCAGGAGTTGGATACCGGCCTGGGCAACACAGGGAGACCCCATCTCTACAAAAAATACAAAAATTAGCCTGGTGTGGTGGTGTGCGCCTGCAGTCCCAGCTACTCAGGAGACTGAAGTGGGAGGATCAACTGAGCCCTGGAGGTTGAGGCTGCAGTGAGCCGTGATGGCGCCACTGAACTCCAGCCTGGGTGAGACAGAGCCAGACCCTGTCTCAAAAAACCAAAACAGGAATCCCAGCACTTTGGGAGGGCGAGGCTGGTGGATCACTTGAGATCAGGAGTTGGAGACCAGCCTGGCCAACATGGTAAAACCCTGTCTCTACTAAAAATACAAAATTTAGCTGGGCTTGGTGATGTGCGCCTGTAATCCCAGCTACTTGGGAGGCTGAGGCAAGAGAATTGCTTGAACCCAGGAGGCAGAGGTTGCAGTGAGCCGAGATTGTGCCACTGCATTCCAGCCTGGGCGACAGAGTGAGACTCCAGCTCAAAAAAAAAACAAAAAACAAAAAAACCCAACCAAACACACACACACACACACACACACACACACACACACACACACACACACACACACACACAAGGTGATTGCTATGCAAATTAAATATAGCTTCACCAATCAGCTTGCTTCTCCTAATCCCTCATAGAAATCTTGGAGTAGCCCTGGGGTGCAGTGAGGCCAGATTCCAGGAAGGGAATGGGTGGGATGGGTCTGGGTACTGGTGAGCAGCAGGGAGGGTAAGTAGGTTAGCTTCTGGGCCAAGGAGGGCTCCTGGAGGCTTGTTCTGGGTAAAAGCTGGTCTCCTTGAACCTCGGAAGGTGGGGGAACCCACATCCTGGTCTCACCCGCCCAACCGCCCACTCACCCTTGGGTTAGCAGCCATCTAAGCCCCACCCTCCCCCTCACACGCTTAGCTAGCCTGCCACAAGCTGGCCCCTTGGCCTCCTAGAGACCCTGACATCTCCTCCAGCAGCATCTGTCCTCTCTCCTCAGGGAGGCAAGCATTTGATGCTCGAGGTCCCTGGCAGTTGTGGTCCTTGGCAAGTGATGTGTGAGTCCCGTGTGTCATAGGAAGCTCCCCATCCCCATCTGGTGACCAAAGGCCTGGCTACAAGTAGTGAGTCCTTCCTCCTCCACCCAGACCTCACTGCTCAGATCCCCTTCGCCAACTGGGACATCTTCCGACATGGCCTGGATGCTGTTGCTCATCTTGATCATGGTCCATCCAGGTGACAGGGCGTGCGCTCAGGACCCCAAGGAGTGTGGGTGGGAGGAGGGAGATCCAGGAGGCTGGACTAGATGCTATAGGGAACGGGCTTGGTGGGGGCTGAAACACACGGCTCTGAGGGAGGAGTGGGACTGCTCCAAAGGTGACACTCAGTGGACTCCCCCAATTCACAGTCTCTCTGTGTCACCCACTGTGAGGCTTTTTAGTTTGAGAGATCCAAGTAAATCTATGATAAATTTCTTGGTGAAACTTTTTTTTTTTTTTTTTTGAGACTGAGTCTCGCTCTGTCGCCTGGCTGGAGTGCCGTGGTGCGATTTTGGCTCACTGCAACCTCTGCCTCCCATGTTCAGGTGATTCTCCTGCCTCAGCCTCCTGAGTAGCTGGGACTACACGCACGCACGACCACACCTGGCTAATTTTTTTTTTTTTTGAGACGGAGTCTTGCTCTGTCACCTAGGCTGGAGTGCAGTGGCATGATCTTGGCTCACTGCAACCTCTGCCTCCTAGATTCAAGCAATTCTCCTGCCTCAGCCTCCTAGGTAGCTGGGATTACAAGCGCGCACCACCACACCCAACTAATTTTTGTATTTTTAGTAGAGACAGGGTTTTACCATGTTGGCCGGGCTGGTCTTGAACTCCTGACCTCAGGTGATCTGCCTGCCTCGGCCTCCTAAAGTGCGGGGATTACAGGCCTGAGCCACTGCGCCCAGCCATTTTTGTATTTTTAGTAGAGATGGGGTTTTGCTATGTTGGCCAGGTTGGTCTCAAACTCCTGATCTCAAGTGATCTGCCTGCCTCGGTCTCCCAAATTACTGGAATTATAGGCATGAGCCACTGCGCCCGCCTGGTGGTGAAACTTTTTTTTTGAGACAGTTTCATTCTGTTGTCCAGTCTAGAGTACAGTGGCGGTATCTCAGCTCACTGCAGCCTCCACCTCCTGGGTAAAAATGATTCTCCTGTCTCAGCCTCCCAAGTAGCTAGGATTACAGGTGCATGCCATTACTGCTGGCTAACTTGTGTATTTTTAGTAGAGACGAGGTTTCACCATGTTGGCCAGGCTGGTCTCAAACTCCTGACCTCAGGTGATCCACTCGCCTTGGCCTCCCAAAGTGTTGGGATTATAGGCGTGAGCCACTGCACCCGGCCGAAACTGTTTTTAATGAACTGAGAGACCTTAACTATCAGGCATATTATTAACTAAATGCAGGAGTTCTCAAAATGTGGATTTCTGGGAACCTAGAACAAATTCTTAGGCCCCACTCCAGACCTACTGAGTCAAAAACTCGGGGGGTAGGCCCAGGAATCTGTTCTAGCAGATGCTCCAGGTAATTTCCATACACACTCAAGTTTGAGAACCACTGAAATAGAATGACTTGTAAATTTCCCTAAGTAGATAATTTAATCAGGGATTTTAATATTTGGTTTAATTCATCAACATGGACGGGTTAAATAGGAATCTCAACCAATTAAGGCCACGTCTTCACCTGGAGATTTAATTAGTTACTTTCTTTAACGAAAACCAAGAGTGGCTGGGTGCACTTTGGGAGGCCGAGGCAGGTGGATCACTTGAGATCAGGAGTTTGAGACCAGCCTGGTCCGAGGTGGGTGGATCACTTGAGGTCAGGAGTTTGAGACCAGATGGTGAAACCCTGTCTCGACTGAAAATACAAAAATTAGCCAGTCGTGGTGGTGGGTGCCTGTAGTCCCAGCTACTTGGGAGGCTGAGGCACCAGGATCGCTTGAACCCAGGGGACGGAGTTTGCAGTGAGCCAAGATTGCACCACTGCATTCCAGCCTGGGCAACAGAGCAAGACCCCATCTCAAAAAAAGAAAAAAGAAAAAGAGGAAGGATGGCTTACTGTACAATGCCATTTGTACTAAAATAATACCTGGATAATATAATGAGTGATATTAGTTAACTAGGCAGCTGCATTCATTAATGAGCTTAATTTCACCATGATGGTTTACATTTCAGCTAGACAAGTTACTACTGAACTGGCTGGAGAATGATGGCAGAGGGTGAGAGTGAGAGTTGGTATAGGAAGAATTTGAAAAATGATTTTTATTTTTTATTTTTTGAGATGGAGTCTTGCTTTGTCGCCCAGGCTGGAGTGCAATGGCGCAATCTTGGCTCACTGCAACCTCTGCCTCCCGGGTTCAAGCGATTCTCCTGCCTCAGCCTCCCGAGTAGCCGGGATTACAGGTGCACACCACCATGCCCGGCTAATTTTTGTATTTTTTTAGTAGAGACGGGGTTTCACCATGTTGGCCAGGATGGTCTCGATCTCCTGACCTGGTGATCCGCCCACCTCGGCCTCCCAAAGTGCTGGGATTACAGGCGTGAGCCACTGCACCCAGCCGAAAAATGATTTAATAAGCAATGTTAAGAAATCAGATTGGTTAAGAGGGAAGGGTTTAATGAGGCACCCAAAGTATCTATTCCCATGCACCCTATGCCTGGAGAAAGCTGGGATGTTCTACTCCAAGCTCTGTTGTCTTTTCTCTTTGGAATAACTGGGGAGGTGTTTCTCTGGGTCTTCCTTCTGCCCCCAGGATCCTGTGCTCTCTGGGTGTCCCAGCCCCCTGAGATTCGTACCCTGGAAGGATCCTCTGCCTTCCTGCCCTGCTCCTTCAATGCCAGCCAAGGGAGACTGGCCATTGGCTCCGTCACGTGGTTCCGAGATGAGGTGGTTCCAGGGAAGGAGGTGAGGAATGGAACCCCAGAGTTCAGGGGCCGCCTGGCCCCACTTGCTTCTTCCCGTTTCCTCCATGACCACCAGGCTGAGCTGCACATCCGGGACGTGCGAGGCCATGACGCCAGCATCTACGTGTGCAGAGTGGAGGTGCTGGGCCTTGGTGTCGGGACAGGGAATGGGACTCGGCTGGTGGTGGAGAAAGGTGAGATGCTGGGAGGTGGTGTCTCCTCCTGGCTGGAGGCCCCAAGAGGCAATGTCCTTGGGAGGCAGGGATGCTCCTCTGAGGCCCCTTCCCTCCCTGAGCCTGTGTGCACTTCTTCCCCAACCCCCGTCTCCATTGCCCCATGCAGAACATCCTCAGCTAGGGGCTGGTACAGTCCTCCTCCTTCGGGCTGGATTCTATGCTGTCAGCTTTCTCTCTGTGGCCGTGGGCAGCACCGTCTATTACCAGGGCAAATGTGAGTAATGGAGCCAGGGGCAATAGTGGACGGGATGGGAGGGGCAGTAAGAGAGTGGGAGGAGGGAGGACAGAGACCAGGAAGAGGAGAGCCTCGGGACTGCAACACTGAGCAGCTCCTGTCCTCTCTCTGACCAGGCCACTGTCACATGGGAACACACTGCCACTCCTCAGATGGGCCCCGAGGAGTGATTCCAGAGCCCAGATGTCCCTAGTCCTCTTCAAAAGACCCCAATAAATCTGCCCCACCACTAACTCCTCATGAGTCTCAAGTGTTTTCTTCTCCATTCTCCAGATGCCAAATCTACTCTCTCCGGATTCCCCCAACTCTGAACTTTCCCTTCCACCAGGTCTGACCTGGAAAGGTCCAAGAAGGCAGCTGCCGGCTGTGGTCCCAGCGCCCCTCCCACCACCATGTGGGAGCTCAGCACATCTGCTTCCCCCAGTCCCAGGAGGCTGAGCCTGATTGTCCTGAGAAATGGGAAGGATCAGATATGACTCCTCCTTGGCAACTGCCCTTTCCTGCCAGGCCCACACATACCCTCTTCTGGCTGTTAGGGGAGCTTGGGTCCCTGAACACTGTCATTCACCCAATAAATTACTATTTGACCCCAGAGTGGGTGGAAGGGTGAGCCATGTGTTTTTTTAATTTTAATTTTTAAAAAATTTAAAAAATTCCCTATTCAAAGGTCAAAAAGCCACATAAGTTTTGATGATGATCATTTTGAACGGAGGCTCGAGATGGACTGAGAGGACTGAGACACAGAAGTGGGGGGACCATGGTTTTTACTGGCTGGACCACAGGGGGACCCTGTCCACCCGCCTGGGTTGAGGAAGGTGTCTGGGGTGCTCAGGTGGGTTTGTTCTCAGCAATGCAGGCATAGTCAGCTCTTGGATCCTCCTTGGTGCCTCTCTTGTCTCTGCCCCTGAGGTCAGGTCCCTCACTGCTGGGCACTGGCAGCCTCTGCAGAGATGCATAGTGGAGTTCCTGCTCTGAGGAGCCCTGGGCCTGGGACCAGGACAGAAGGTGCTGATGGGAGGCGATGCCGTCAGATCCTTCCCTGTGAGTTCTGCTCCCACCTCCAGCCTTTCTTACTTTTCTCCCTCTCTCTCTCTCTCTCTCCCTCTCTCTCTCTCTCTCTCTCTCTTTCTCTTTTTTCTTTGGAGACAGAGTCCCACTATGTTGTCCAGGATTGTCTTCAACCCCTGAGCTCAAGCTATCTTCCTGCCTCAGCCTTGCGATAGCTGGAATGACAGACGTGAGCCACTGTGCCTGGTTCTGGAGCCTCTCTCTCTCTCTCTCTTTCATTGCTCTTCTCTTTGTGTCTCTCTCACTCTCATTTTCTCCCTGTCTCTCCTATCCTCTGTCTCACTTTTTCTCTTGGTTTCTGTCTCATTTTCTCTTTCTCTTTTGCCTCGATTTTCTCTGCCTCTCTCATGCTCCTACTTTCTCTCTCCTTGTCTCCCGTCCCCAACCCTCCTCTCAGCGCTCAGCCATGCTTCTCCCCACTCACCCACTCAGGATCTCTCTTGCCCTCCCCCTTCCCTGTCCCCAGACTCACCCAGCTCCTCTCCAGCCTCTTTACTGGAAGAAAAGAAGAAGCTCAACACAGCCCACCCTTTGTGCTTCTCCCGGGCCCTCCCGGGCTCCCCCCACCAGCAGGCGTGGACTCCCCTGTTGGCTTCCCAGTGGCTCCAGGGCCAGGCAGTGTTCTGGGAAAGCAGTGGGAAAGCGTGTGGGGGTGGGGGCACAGGGGGCACTGCTGCAGGGGGAGGGAGGGAGTGCAGCGCTCACCTCTTCGATGCAGCCAACACAGGCAGGCGGACAGAAGGACCACTGCCAGAAGCAGGAGCCCGCCCAGCCCCAGGCCCCCGTAGATACATATATCTTCAGGGAAGAGGGCTCAAGGTTAGGAAGCCCATTCCTTCTCCAGCGTACCCCAGCCTCCTGGTTGGTTGCAGCTTTCTCAGATTCCCTCTCCAACAGTTTTAGAGGCAGAAAAATATACCCTCAGAGCTTCTCCATCCCAGACCTTAATACCTCACCTCTTACCAGGTTTCTGGGCCTCCCGTGAGGTCCCTTTCCCTCCTGTACCAGCTGTCCCCAGAGGCCTGTCCACCTAGTCATGAGCTGCATACATCACTGTTCCCCATCACTTCCTAAGCTCCCAGGACCCTCTCTATGCAGATGCAAGAGACACTTTACTTACCATCATTCCGCGATAACATTAGGTCAGGGATCAGGGACTGGCCTGGAGGTCAGGAACTCTAGTCCTTGCTCTTTTAGGCGAAATGATCAGGGGCTGGTGACTTGCCTCAAGTTCCTCATCTGTGAAGTGAGGGGCCCTCTGTTATAATCGTTCCCAGGCTGGGGAGCCTCCCTTATGTGCCAACCCTGAGCTGGGCACTTTCCATTCCTCACTGCTAATCCCCAGAACATAGGGTATCATGGTGCCCGTTGCCCAAGTAAAGACCCGAGATTCAAGCCTGGACTTTACTAGGTCACCCATCCCAGAAAGGTGGAGCTGGGGTTTAAGGCCAGCTCTGCCCAACTCCAGAGCCCAGCCCTTTCCTCTGCCCTGGGCTGACCACGTGGTTTGGAGGGGACTTTTCAGCCCTGGATGGTTCTAGGTGCTGGTAAGGGGATGATGGAGGGGAAGGAGCCTGGGCCTGGGTGGGTGTGGGCACTGGGGGGAAGAAGGGAGGGTGATATCAGCACACCCAGCAGGTGGGCTGCTCCCTGAGCCGCAGAGCAGCGCGGGAGTGTGGGGGCCCCCTTGGCTGGTGTGGAGAGCTGCTTCCCACAGGCAGATGCTGCTAGGGCTGAAGTGGGGCATGGAGGAGTATCTGGGGCCCCATAACTTCCCCTCAGGCACTTCCTCCCCTCCAACCACTGGTTCCTGTTTGAGGGTGAAGAGGGGGCCGTTCTCTTCACCCCAGAGCCAGATATACTGACTAGGGTCTGGAAACTGGGACCCTTCTGGGTTTAAGAGGAATTCTGGGGGGTGGGGAGCAGAAGTGCAGGTGGAGGCCATAAGGGCCGTGGGCACAGAAATGAATTGTCTTTAATTTCTTTGGGGAGCAGAGACTCAGAGGATTCCTCGACGGCCCAGGGAAACTCAAACCCATACTCTCCCTCCCCTCATCTTAGCTTCACCCCACTCTGGGGTGTGACCATCCTTCCACCAAGGTCCCTGCCCATTCCCAGCTTACCCAGAGCTTGTGGCCTGCAGGATGGACAGACTCCAAACTGGCCAGTGCTGTCTGGCTGAAGAGAAGTGTTGCCACCTCAGACATTCCTGCCCCTCCTCTGGCTTTAACTTCTCCCCCAGCCTGGGTTCCTCCCCAGCATTGTTAGGAGAGGAAGTTCGGCTCCAGGGTTAGGGTTACAACATCTTTCTTTTCAAACTTCTGGGCCTGTAGCTAGGGCCATAATCTGCCTCAGCTCCAGTCATTTCACTGATCCTGCCACTAGTCAGCAAACACCCACCACCTTCAGGTGTCTTCCTTGATTAACTCTTCTCTATTACCTCTTACACTGCATCTGTTGAGACCTCTTGATCTTGGCATATGTCTGTGGACACATGTACCCTGCTCCAGTTCAGACTGGGAGCTCTGGCATATTTGGTGTTCTGGTGACCCACTTGGTGTTCTGCAGCTCTATGCAGCAGGCTGCTTGGCTGTCTGATTAACAAACATGAGAGTTAAAGGCAGCCATACTAGATCTACATGAGCCCTGTGGATAGATCAAGGACAGAAAGTTGGTGACAAGTTGGTGACAGGAAAGGAGGTGTGGGCAATACAGGTGGACTTCCTGTAGGAGGCAGCATTCTGGCATTGAACACAGAACTAAGTAAAGGCAGCGGCCTGAGGCTCTCTGGAGAGACCTGGGTGAAGGCTTCTTAGTGGCACTGTGATGGAGAAGGAGATGGGTGCTGGAGGATTGCACACCCACTCCTTGAGGAGGGTGAAGACTGGGGAGCGCCTGTAAGGCAAGGGGTGAGGAGGAGATGTGGTGCCTGGGTGGGTCCATATTAATTTGCGTTTCCCCTTCCAAATTCAAGAACCTTCTACTTCCTCCCCCACCCTTCTCCCCATCCTCCATGTTCCCTATGCTGAATAATATTCAGGGTTTTTTGTTTGTTTGTTTTGTTTTTTTTTACATTTTATTATTAAAAAGTGCAAACATAGGGTGAAATGAGAATAATTGTACAGTGAACATATTCTTACCACCTAGATGCTACTATTAACATTTTTTGTTTTGTTTTGTTTTTGAGATGGGGTCTCACTCTGTCACTCAGCCTGAAGTGCAGTGGTGAAATCATAGCTCACTGCAGCCTTGAATTCCTGGGCTCAGAGGTCCTCCCACCTTAGCCTTCTGAGTAGCTAGGACTACAGACACCAGCTACCACATGAGGCTTTGTAGAAATGGGGTCTTACTATGTTGCCCAGGCTGGTTTTGAACTCCTGGTCTCAAGCAATCTTTCCACCTTAGCCTTCCAAAGTGCTGGAATTACAGGAGTGGGCCACTGCACCTGGCTCTATTAACATTTTTTATTTGCTTTATCACATATTTATCAATCCATCTCACTTTTAAATATCTTTTAAAATTACAAATATCAGTACATTTTACATCTAAACCCTTCAGAAGCTTAACATTGACTGGAGTTCAGTATTTATTTCCCCATTTCTTTTCTGGCCTGAGGAAGGCAAATTTTACATACAAATCTCAAGTCAGTACTCTTTTTTTTTTTTGAGACGGAGTCTTGCTCTGTTGCCCAGGCTGGAGTCCAGTGGTGTGATCTTGGCTCACTGCAACCTCTGCCTTCTGGGTACAAGCGATTCTCCTGTCTCAGCCTCCCAAGTAGCTGGGACTACAGGTTTGTGCCACCATATCCAGCTAATTTTTGTATTTTTAATGGAGAAGGGGTTTCACCATGTTGGCCAGGCTGGTCTCAAACTCTTGACCTCAAGTGATCCACCTGCCTTGGTCTCCTAAAGTGCTGGGATTATAGGTGTGAGCCATCTCGCCTGGCCTAATACTGTTTTGTTTGTTTGTTTTTGTTTTTAAGACAGAGTCTTGTTCTTGTCACCCAGGCTGGAGTGCAATGGCATGATTTCGGCTCACTGCAACTTCCGCCTCCTGGGTTCAAGTGATTCTCCTGCCTCAGCCTCCCAAGTAGCTGGAATTAAAGGTGCCTACCACCACGCCCCGCTAATTTTTATATTTTTAGTAGAGATGGGGTTTCACCATGTTGATCAGGCTGCTCTCGAGCTCCTTACCTCAGATGATCCACCTTCCTTGGCCTCCCAAAGTGCTGGTATTATAGGCAAGAGCCACTGCGCCCAGCCCCAGTATTCAGTTTTTAAACTGTCTTGTTATCAAGGCTCTGGAGCCAGATGCCTGGGTTCAAATTCTGGTTCTGCCACTGACTCTGTGAGCTCCATAAGTTTCTTAACCTCTCTGTACCTCAGTTTCCTCTTAGGGTTTTTGTCAGGATTATAATTATTGGCTGGGCATGATGGCTCATGCTTGTAATCCCAGCACTTTAGGAGGCCAACACGGGCAGATCACGTGAGTCCAGGAGTTTGAGCCCAGCCTGGGCAATGTGGCAAAAATCCATCTCTACAAAAAATGCAAAAATTAGCTGGGCATGGTGGCATGTGCCTATAGTCCCAGCTATTCAGGAGGCTGAGGTAGGTGAATCCATAGATCCTGGGAGGTCAAGGCTGCAGTGAGCCATGATCCTGCCATTGCATTCCAGTCTGGGTGACATAGCGAGACCCTGTCTCAAAAAAAAAATTATTAAAGTGTGTAAATCAGTGGCATAAACATGTTAAGTGCATTTTGTGGGTCAGCTATATTATTATTAGTATTACGGAAACACATAGAGATGTTACCAAGAAGGGGAGATGATTGGAGCCACTTCCAGCTTCCTTGGACCTGGTCTTTCTTCCCTTGACTCTTTTTTTTTTTTTTTTTTTTTTTTTTTTTGAGAGAGAGTCTCAGCCTGTTGCCCAGGCTGGAGTGCAATGGTGCAATCTTGGCTCACTGCAACCTCTGCCTCCCAGGTTTAAGTGATTCTCCTGCCTCAGCCTCCTGTGTAGCTGGAATTACAGGCGCGTGCCACCACGCCCGGCTAACTTTTTGTATCTTTAGTAGAGACAGGGTTTCACCATGTTGGCCAGGCTGGTCTCGAACTCCTGACCTCAAGTGATCCACCTGCCTCAGCCTCCCAAAGTGTTGGGATTACAGGTGTAAGCCACTACCCCGGCTACTCCCTTGACTCTTAACCACTCATGCTGCCTACATCTACCATTCATGTGGTCCTTGCTGCTTTGTTTTGGTTATTCCTGCATTTATTTGTCCTTTTATTCATTTATGTATAAACATTTAGTAAGCACCTACTAATGGATAGGGCTCATTGTAGACTTGGAAGCTCTCTGAGGGTGGGAGTATGCCTCGTCCATCTGTCTTTACTTTTTGTAGCAAGGGAGGTAAAGCTCCATTTCCATCCCTCCTTAGTGAGTCAGTAGTCAGTGGTGAGGCTAAGGCTTACCTCTCCCTTTCTCACTCAGCACAGGGGGCTGGAGATGAGCAAGGGAACGGGAGGAGGTCAGCCCAGTATGGGAATCAGTTCTTCTCAGGGAACCCAGACATCCATCCCTCAAGATTCCAGTCCTTGTCCTAGTCCGGCCCTTGACCTCAGAGACGGGATCAGCTCTTCCTCCAGCACCTACCTTGAGGGTATAGAAGAATGCAAACCACATTGGAAACCTGGAGATCTGTGTTCTCATTTCAGCTCTGCTGACTGGCTTCCTGCAAGCTACCTTCCCTCCCTGGGCCTCAGTTTCTCTCTCTGCTGAGCCAGAAGATGTCTAAAGACCCCTTTGGTTCCACCCTGAGAGCCTGTCTCCCTAACCTCAACTTCTTCCCCAGTTCAGAGAACCCAGGCATCCAGCTGCCCCACCCCAGCTCTGGGTAAACAGGAAGCTGGGTGAGGGGAGCAGGGGTGTGCGGAAAGTCCCAGCCAGGTGTGCAGGTCTACAGGGAGGGGGTGGGCCCGTCCCTGAGGTATGAAAGCCCCCTGCTCTGGCTCTGGTTCAGTCTCAATGGGGGCACTGGGGCTGGAGGGCAGGGGTGGGAGGCTCCAGGGGAGGGGTTCCCTCCTGCTAGCTGTGGCAGGAGCCACTTCTCTGGTGACCTTGTTGCTGGCGGTGCCTATCACTGTCCTGGCTGTGCTGGCCTTAGTGCCCCAGGATCAGGGAGGACTGGTGAGTGGCTGCAACAGGCCCTGGTGGAGAGTTGTATCTTGCGGATGCTTGGCTCCCTCTGGTTGTGCCTGTGGTCTTTTGCCCCCTCTGGCTCAGCTGGCTCGGCTGTCCCTGGTGGGGATGTCTTGTCTCTTTGCTGACTCTCTTTCCATGTTCCTGTGATGTTGTGCTTGTGTCCCGACATAAGCCCCTTGTGTCTCCTCTCCTCTTCCCGAGGTACATCTGTTTCTCCGCCCAAGTACCTATGCCTTGCTTGTTCTCCCTTCTAAGGAGGTGTGTGTTGGGGATGGTGCTGGTAGGAGAAACCCCAGGCCTGCAGCTTGGGTCCACTTTCAGAGGGGTAGGGGTGACATGAGCTGAATCTGAACTCTGGGCACTGTGACCCCACCCAACCAGGTAACGGAGACGGCCGACCCCGGGGCACAGGCCCAGCAAGGACTGGGTAAGAGCAGACTGTCTCTCCTTCCCCGCTTCAGCCCCTCAGGGGCTCCCAGCTCCCTGCTGCGTCCCCAGATACCTCTTCCTCTAGGAATCCAGGCTCCCCATCCCTGCGCCCTGTTCTCTCAAGGGTAGCCTGCATGGGTGGCTGCCCTGCCCCCAATCGTGGACTCTTTGCCCCTTCCAGGGTTTCAGAAGCTGCCAGAGGAGGAGCCAGAAACAGATCTCAGCCCCGGGCTCCCAGCTGCCCACCTCATAGGTAAGGACCTCCAAGACCTGAATAAGAGTGTAAATAATCCGAAGGTTCCAGTTCTGCTCGCCCAGAGTCCTTCGGCTCCATGATTCCAGTGCTCGGTTTCCCACCCGCTTCACGACCTTTTGTCGCTCGTGCCCACTCTTACGCTCGTCCCCGCAGTGTAGTTTCTTCTTCCCTCCGGTGCAAGCAAAAGCCGGCCTGGAGGTCCCCACTACAGCGTTCTGCACCCCACATCCGTGTTCCCTCGGCCCCCAACTCGCACTCATCCCAGAAACAGCACCATCCCTCCTCCCCCGGCCCGGCTCGGCTCCCGCAGGGGCTAAAAGCCGCCACTTCCCCAGAAGTCCCAAGCCTTTAGGATCGCATTCCCAAGAGCGCGTCGGCCCGTGTCTCCGCAGGCGCTCCGCTGAAGGGGCAGGGGCTAGGCTGGGAGACGACGAAGGAACAGGCGTTTCTGACGAGCGGGACGCAGTTCTCGGACGCCGAGGGGCTGGCGCTCCCGCAGGACGGCCTCTATTACCTCTACTGTCTCGTCGGCTACCGGGGCCGGGCGCCCCCTGGCGGCGGGGACCCCCAGGGCCGCTCGGTCACGCTGCGCAGCTCTCTGTACCGGGCGGGGGGCGCCTACGGGCCGGGCACTCCCGAGCTGCTGCTCGAGGGCGCCGAGACGGTGACTCCAGTGCTGGACCCGGCCAGGAGACAAGGGTACGGGCCTCTCTGGTACACGAGCGTGGGGTTCGGCGGCCTGGTGCAGCTCCGGAGGGGCGAGAGGGTGTACGTCAACATCAGTCACCCCGATATGGTGGACTTCGCGAGAGGGAAGACCTTCTTTGGGGCCGTGATGGTGGGGTGAGGGAATATGAGTGCGTGGTGCGAGTGCGTGAATATTGGGGGCCCGGACGCCCAGGACCCCATGGCAGTGGGAAAAATGTAGGAGACTGTTTGGAAATTGATTTTGAACCTGATGAAAATAAAGAATGGAAAGCTTCAGTGCTGCCGATAAAGATGCTGAGTTGCGACACACGTCTTAATTCAGGGTGGGTGCACGGGTGCGGGTTAAATATTCTCAGTACTCTTCTGGTTGCTTGAAACAATTCATCACAACACAGTGTATGGCCTTTGCTCCTAGGGATGATGGTCTGCCTGTCCCACCCCCTCCCTGCCTCTGAATGGCCAGGCCCCACCATTAGCCCAGTTGGAGGGTGGGAGGAAGGGGGACTTCTCAAACTCCGAAGCTTCTCTAGGCATCCTGATTTTCAGGGCCACATGGTCCCAACCAGACTCTGCACCATACTCTTTTCTCTTGGGTACCCCCCAACAGTGAGAGGGGTCATTACAGAGCCCAGCAAGCACCACTCAGAAAGGCCCAGCAGCAGAGTAAGCCCCTATCATGACAGAGGAATGAAGCCTGGAGGGGCCCCGCACTTCTCCCCCTAGAGCTGCCTGAAGGCCTCTCTGTCTCCTACCCGACAGTCAACTCTTCTCCTCCAAGGAGCTTAATTCAAGGCTCATGGGGTCTGAAGGGAGGAGGCTGAAGGAGAAAGAAGGGGAGAATATTAGAGAGAGATGGGGATGGCAGGAAGGAGCCTGTGGTGCCTGAAAACACCAGGAAGTTCTGGGGAGGAGGAAAAACCGATGCCCCACTTAGGGTGTCCCATTTAGGGTGAGACGGAAAATCCTCACCTTTTTTTCACACTTTAGGTCCCCCTTCCCAAAAGTGAGTAAGTGTGGGTGCTTCTGGGATGAGTAACAGTGTCCCCCATTACTTCATGGCTGACTTTCAGCCACAGGCTGGAGGAGGCAGAGGGTGACCCAAGGCCCTATCTAGGTCACCCCAATGGGTCACCCTACCCCCTCAGCCTACCACATGGTTTTCTCCTGCCTGGCACCCCAGGGCTGGAGGTAAAGCCTAATTTCCGAACTCAGTGGGGGCTCCCAGTCTAGGGGGGCTCAATTTCCGTCTCCATATTTGTTTTTGGAATTATTATTTTTTTGAGACAGGGTCTCGTTCTGTCACCCAGACGGGGGTACAGTGGCATGATCATAGCTTACTGTAACCTCAAACTCCTGGGCTTGAGTGATCCTCCTGCCTCAGCCTCCTGAGGAGCTAGGATTACAGGCATGCACCACTACACCTGACTAATCTTTAATTTTTTTTCTAGAAACAAGGTCTTGCTATGTTGCACAGGCTGGTCTTGAACTAGTGGGCTCAAGTGGTCCTCCTACCTCAGCCTCCCAAAGTGTTGGGATAACAGGCATGAGCCACTGCGCCCCACCCTTATTTGTCTTTGACTCTCTCCAGAAGAGCCTTCATCCAGGGAGGGGGTGCTTTTCTCTTTCCGGATTACCCACCTCTCACCTCTCCCCTCCTTCACCACAAAGACCAGTGGGACCAAGCCGGCATGTGAGTCCTTCACCCACATCTTATTCCTATGTTTCATTCTTTTTTAAAAAATAGAGACAGGATCTCACTATGTTGCCCAGGTTGCTCTGGAACTCCTGGGTTCAAGCGATCCTCTCACCTTGGCCTTGCAAAGTGGTAGGATTACGGGTGCATGCCACCACGTCCGGCAGTTCGGTTCCTTGTTCTTTATTGTCCTCAGTCTCTTCGATTTCACCCACTGAGAGAATGGAAGGGGATAGAACAGCTGGAAACTGGTTGAAGGAAGCCAGAATTCACTAAGTGCCCACTGTGCCAAGGGCTGAGTGAGGTCCTCTGATGGAGGTCAGGCCTTCTCTCACATGCCCTATGTGTGGTGGACATTCCTATCCCCATTGGATAGATAGGTTAAGTGGCTGGTTCAGGTTGCAGAGTTAGGACAGGGTGATTTGAAGCCTAGACAGCCGAATCTCTGGAAGTCCCTTGGCTGTGTGATTCAGGTACCTGAGAATGCGGCTCCTCTCCAGCTCTCTCCGGACTGCTGGCCAGCTGCAACAGCCGGAAATCTCACCTGAGCTGCAGGATTTTCCCAGCAAGGATTGGAATTCCCAGAGTTGGAAATTCCCATGCCCTGAGGGAGAGGTAATTAGGTTCAGGCTCTTGTTTCCTGGGGGATGGGGAATATTCTGTTGGGCTTTGTTTATGTAGGGTCTCCAGGGCCCTAGGAGTCTAAGGATGGGACTGGGTCCGAGGGATCTTAAAGCCTGTGGAGAGAGGACTTAGGGAGCTTCTTCCCACCCACAAGAAGAGGCAGATGCAGAATTAATTCCAAGAAGGAGACCATGTTTCTTTTCTAAGCAAACTTTATTTCTCGCCACTGAATAGTAGGGCGATTACAGACACAACTCCCCTGGGGAGCAGAGGCTCAGCAATGAGTGACAGTTGGTCACCAAATCAGCATTGTTTAGACAACTTAATCAGATAAATATTTTAAAAAACATAATCAAAAGAAGGCACAGAGGCCAGGGGGCTACATGGGAACAGCCTATTGTTCAGCTCCGTTTTCACGGAAAACATGTCTGAGCCAAGGCAGCTCCTACATTGGGTCCCCCAGGATACCCCGGTCTCCCAAATAAATACATTCATCTGTAAATAAATAAATAATAAATAAATAATAAATAATCACAAGTGCAAACATAAATAGAGGGAGCTGGCTCCATGGGGAGGGCTGGGCTCCGTGTCTCAAGGAAGTCTGGAAACATCTGGAGAGAGGAAGGCCTAAGGTCCACTTGTGTCAATTTCTAGGTGAGGTCTTCTCAAGTCCTGCAGCATTCTGGCCAGAACCAAAGGCTCCCTGGTCTCCAGATTCCAGATGTCAGGGATCAAAGCTGTAGGCCCCAGTGAGTTCTGGAGGCCCCAGTTTGAATTCTTAGTGGTTGCCAGCACTTCACTGTGCAGGCCACACATTCCTGAATCCCAGGTTTCGAAGTGGTGGTCTTGTTGCTTAAAGTTCTAAGCTTGGGTTCCGACCCTAAGCCCCCAATTCTCTTTTTGAGCCAGAAGAGGTTGAGGGTGTCTGAAGGAGGGGGTAATAAAGGGATTGGGGCAGGGGAGGCGTTTGGGAAGGTTGGATGTTCGTCCTCCTCACAGGGCAATGATCCCAAAGTAGACCTGCCCAGACTCGGCAAAGTCGAGATAGTCGGGCCGATTGATCTCAGCGCTGAGTCGGTCACCCTTCTCCAGCTGGAAGACCCCTCCCAGATAGATGGGCTCATACCAGGGCTTGGCCTCAGCCCCCTCTGGGGTCTCCCTCTGGCAGGGGCTCTTGATGGCAGAGAGGAGGTTGACCTTGGTCTGGTAGGAGACGGCGATGCGGCTGATGGTGTGGGTGAGGAGCACATGGGTGGAGGGGCAGCCTTGGCCCTTGAAGAGGACCTGGGAGTAGATGAGGTACAGGCCCTCTGATGGCACCACCAGCTGGTTATCTCTCAGCTCCACGCCATTGGCCAGGAGGGCATTGGCCCGGCGGTTCAGCCACTGGAGCTGCCCCTCAGCTTGAGGGTTTGCTGGAGGGAGGGAGAGAGGGAGAGGAGAGTCAGTGTGGCCATGTCGGTTCACTCTCCACATCCTGGCCCTCGAGCTCTGCCCACCCCACATCCGGTTCCTGTCCTCTCTGTCTGTCATCCCACATCCCACCTGGCCATGACGTTCTGAGTATCCCACTAAGGCCTGTGCTGTTCCTCCACCCTTCCCTTGAGCTCAGCGAGTCCTTCTCACATTGTCTCCAAGTTCTGCCTACCATCAGCCGGGCTTCAACCCCCAAATCCTAGCCCTCCAAGTTCCAAGACACATCCTCAGAGCTCTTACCTACAACATGGGCTACAGGCTTGTCACTCGGGGTTCGAGAAGATGATCCTGAAGAGGAGAGAGAAAAGAAAAAGCTGAGACCCTTAAACTTCCTAGAAAATACCCCCCTACTTTCACCTCCATCCATCCTCCCCCAAGACCAAAACTTTAAATTTCCCCCACTGCTTCCATACCGGTACTAACCCTACCCCCAAACCCAAACCCAGAATTAGGAAAGAGGTTTGGAGACACTTACTGACTGCCTGGGCCAGAGGGCTGATTAGAGAGAGGTCCCTGGGGAACTGTTGGGGAGAAGGAGAATGGTTAACATCGAGGGAGTCACCCTTAAAGGAGGAACAGCTGGCTGCCTGTCTGGCCTGCGCTCTTAGCCCTGAGGTGTCTGGTTTTCTCTCTCCATTCATCCGTGTATTCACCTTCCAGGCATTCAACAGCTCTTTCCCTGAGTGTCTTCTGTGTGCCAGACACCCTATCTTCTTCTCTCCTTATCTCCCCCATCTCTCTCCTTAGCTGTCATATTTCCCGCTCTTTCTGTCTCACCATCTTTATTCATATCACTTGTTTCTTCCCCCATCTCTCTTCTCACACCCCACATCTGTCTCCATATCTTATTTATATATCTGCTTGTTCATTCATTCATTCATTCATTCACTCCATACACACTTAGTGAGCACCTTCCATGTGCCAGACATCCTGTCTCTCCATCTTTCTCTCTCTCTCTTCCCCATCTCTTGCCACATCTCTTTCTGCATCCCCGTCTTTCTCCACGTTTTTTTCTCTCCATCCCTCCCTATCAGCGCACATCTTTCACCCATCCCATCTCTCTCCCTCTCTTGTGTCTCCATTTCCCCTTGGGTGGGAGAGTGGATGAAGGCTGGCCAGGCACTCACCTCTTCCCTCTGGGGGCCGATCACTCCAAAGTGCAGCAGGCAGAAGAGCGTGGTGGCGCCTGCCACGATCAGGAAGGAGAAGAGGCTGAGGAACAAGCACCGCCTGGAGCCCTGGGGCCCCCCTGTCTTCTTGGGGAGCGCCTCCTCGGCCAGCTCCACGTCCCGGATCATGCTTTCAGTGCTCATGGTGTCCTTTCCAGGGGAGAGAGGGTGGAGCCGTGGGTCAGTATGTGAGAGGAAGAGAACCTGCCTGGCAGCTTGTCAGGGGATGTGGCGTCTGAGGGTTGTTTTCAGGGGGGGTCTGTAGTTGCTTCTCTCCCTCTTAGCTGGTCCTCTGCTGTCCTTGCTGAGGGAGCGTCTGCTGGCTGGGTGTGCCAACAACTGCCTTTATATGTCCCTGGGGCGAGAGGAGGGCGGGGAAAGAATCATTCAACCAGCGGAAAACTTCCTTGGTGGAGAAACCCATGAGCTCATCTGGAGGAAGCGGTAGTGGGCCCTGCACCTTCTGTCTCGGTTTCTTCTCCATCGCGGGGGCGGGGATTTGGAAAGTTGGGGACACACAAGCATCAAGGATACCCCTCACACTCCCCATCCTCCCTGCTCTGATTCCGAGGGGGGTCTTCTGGGCCACTGACTGATTTGTGTGTAGGACCCTGGAGGCTGAACCCCGTCCCCATGCCCCTCAAAACCTATTGCCTCCATTTCTTTTGGGGACCAGGTCTGTGGTCTGTTTCCTTCTAACTTCCAGACAGGATGCAGGAAAAAGATAGAACTAGAACTGGGAGGGGCTTCAGAAAGCTGAGTCCTTGAGGGAGAGAAAACGGGGTTGGAGGGAAAAGCTGTGTTGAGTCCTGAGGCCTGTGTTTGGGTCCCTGCGGGGAGAAGGAGCTGGGGGCTTGGTGGCAGGCTTGAGGCCTCAGGAAAGGCTGGGTGGGGGTAGCAGGGACAAGCCTGGGACAGCCCCGGGGAGTGAAATCACCCCCGGGAATTCACAGACCCCACTGGGGCAGGCCTTCTTCTTTCATTCTGACCCGGAGACTCATAATGCTGGTTTCAGTCTTGGCTTCCAAGGAACTCTGGGGTCCCTGATTTTTTTCATGAAGCTCTCACTTCTCAGGGCCCCAGTGTGTGGCCATATCTTCTTAAACGTCCCCTGTATTCCATACCTGGAGGTCCTGGAGGCTCTTTCACTCCCTGGGGCCCTCTACATGGCCCTGTCTTCGTTAAGGGGGGGTCCCCATACTCGACTTCCATAGCCCTGGACATTCTCCTACCCATTGCTGTGGTCACATCTCCCCAGAGGTCTCCTGTAACCCATTCCTCAGAGCCGCTACATGTGGCCATATCTCCCAGGAGCTCCCTGACCCCCGCCCCTCCAGACCCTGACTTTTCCTTCGTCTTCTCAGCTTCTCCTTTGCTTCCCCTGCAGCAGTCTGGCGGCCTCACCTGGTGAGTCCATCACATATCCCTGAAGCTCTCTGAGCCCTTATCCTTTTGTTCTCCCCACAGCTCTTGCTCCCTTTGAGCCCTCTGTCCCTCCCTCCATTCCTTAGATAGACTGGGAAGTTCTCACTCCCAGACACACACACACAAGCAGACAGCATTTCAGAGAAAAGAGGTTTATTGGGCTTCATCGAGGGTGCAGATGCCTCCGTGTGGGGCTCTGGTCGGCAGCTGGCTTTCAGAGCCTTTCCCTGCCTTCTGGGGCCCTGTGATCCCTCATGCCTACTTCTTTCTCTCTTGGTCAGCCTTGTGCGCATGCCCTCTCACTCTTCATCTCTTGGGCCTGTCTCTGTTTCTCCTTGGATGTTCTTCTATTATTCCCCTCTCTCCATCCTCCATAAATAAATAATTTAATTTTTTTGCCTTCATAAATAGTCCCCTCCCTGCCTCTAGTCATCCCCCAAGCTCCTCCATGTGCCTGCTCTTCCTCTGTGTGTGGATCTAGGCCCCACCTAGCTGGTGGGACAGACCAACAGCTTTGGGCTGGGAATTCCTAGGCAGGCTTGAAATCCTCAGCCAGACAGACATCAGGGATGGTTCAGGGAGGTGTGGTCCCCTGGGATGCCTAGAATTCCTTCTTTGAAAGCTCCGGTGACTTGATCAGGGAAGACTTGAGCTGTTGGAATGGCCAAAGGAGAGGTGGTGACGACCCCTGAAATGGTCAGAATGGAGGCAGAATGGGGAGAAGGTCTTGAAATCAATTATTTTTTCTTTCTGGATTTTTCCAAGTTCTACAGAGCGAAGGCTCCAAAGAAGACAGTACTAGGGCTGAGGACTAGGTGGGGGATGCCATCTGTGTGGGTGGATAGCTGGTCTCCCTGGGTGAGCTGGAACGCAGCCCCGTGGTACATCGAGTGCAGCCAGGGTTCCTGCAGCCCTGGATACACCATCTTCTGGGAGCTGAGGAGAGGCACATGGAAGGGGTACTGGGAGGAGAAGAGCTGGACCTCATGGGCCAGGTAGAGTGGGGAGGAGGTGGCCTTGGGAGAGTAGGCTTTCCCAGAGAAGACCACCTGGGAGTAGACGAAGTAGATGCCACTGGTGGGGACCAGGAGAGAATTGTTGCTCAAGGAGAAACCATCCTGGAGGAAGGCACGGTCCGTGTTTGCTCTCCAGAGCAGTGAGTTCTGCTTGCTGGGGTCTCCTAGGAAGAGCCATAGGGGATGGGGGTGGGAGATCAGGGGTCTGGATCAGAGGTCTCAATCCCTGAGGAAGTGGGCACTGAACAACTGAGTTCCTGGGGGATGGCAGGGGGAGGCATAGGAGTGGGCTCCCTCTGTTTTTTTTAGCGTGGGGGAAGTTGGGGGAGAGGGGTGGATGCTTGGGTTCCTGAGGCAGGGGTAGGAGGAGAGCTGGTGGGGACATGTCTGGGAGGTCAGGTGGATGTTTACCAATGAGGTGAGCAGCAGGTTTGAGGGTGCTGTGGGCAAGATGCATCTTGGGGTGCTGACGGGCAGTCTGGGCAGCTGAAGGTGTGAGGCCAACACCAGGGAGCCCCTAGGGGAGAACAGAGTTGAGGGGGGCTCTAGGGCTCAAGGTTTGGCTGAGCCACCCCAGCAGCCCCCATTCTCCTGCTGCCTCACCTGGGCCCCAGGCAGCAGAACCAGCAGCAGCCCCAGAAGGAGGAGGTGTAGGGTGGTGCCACGCACCCTTGGGAGGAAGAGACGTTCAGGTGGTGTCATGGGGAGAACCTGCAGAGAAAGAGAGAGAGAGAGAGAGAGACAGTGAGCGGGGCGGGGCACGCGGCGGAAGACAGACCTCCCGCCCTGGGAGACAGCACCCCCCGACCCCCGAGAGAGAGATCGACAGAGAAGGGGACAAGATGCAGTCAGAGAAACCCCAAGGTGAGCAGAGGGAGACAGAGAGAGACAGGAAGGGAACAGAGAGGAATCATGGCAGAAACAGAGAATGTGTGACAGAGACAATGAGACTGACAGATGGAGAGTCAGAGACAGAGAAGGAAACCAAAACCAAACCCACCAAGGCCCAGGCCCAGGCAGGCCGGGGATCCAGGCAGCAGGTGCAGGAGGGACCGAGGCCCAGGCAGAGGGCAGGACACTGCGGGGCGGTAGTCCAAAGCACGAAGCACGGGCAGCCCAAGGAGATGGGGCAGGAGAGCCTCACCTGCTGTGCGGAGCCCCTGGGCCCGGACGCTCAGGTCCCTTTATAGAGGAAGCGGCAGTGGCAGCGTGGCAGGCAGCGGGCGGGTTCTAGGTCGGGGCTGGGGCCCGGGGAAGCCCCCAGGGCTTAGAAGATACTGCTGTTTCAGTCAAAGGCAGGAAAGGCTGAGGCCTAGGAGAGAACCACAGGCTGGGGGTTCAGGCGACTGAGTTCTGGGAAAGGGAGTCGGGTCAGGGGAATCGTGGGCTGGGAGGGCCAGGGAGTGGGGTCAGGCCTAGAGTTCCAAAGAAGGGACAGTCAATTCAGAGAGGAGGCGGTTGAGCAGCTGGGGTGTGAGCTGGAGGCCCGGTTCCCTGAAGAGCAATCATATATAACATCTCTGCACCCTTGGCTGAGTACAGGCTTCTCTCTTTGCCCATTTCCTTCTCTTGTACCCCTGTCCTTGTCCCAAACAACTCAAATCATACTTGTCCCAGTATACGGACTTTCCAGCCCATCTGGCAGGTTTCACATCAAGAAGGTCCATTATATATCCCCTTCATCGGGGACATTCTGGTGTTTGCCTCTTGTCCAGGTGAAAATATTAATGGATCCCCCTTCCACTCTTGAAAGTGTCCTAGTTTGGAAGATAAATTTTTTGGTCCCCTTACTCAGAGATGATGCTGGACAGTCAAGTATGATGAGGTCTCATCTCACTCCTGAAGGATGCCCTCCATCTCTTCCTGACTTCAGGTGGCTTCCACAGAACAGATTTATATAACCCCAAATAAACACACATTCCAGGATCAATGTGGCAGACACCTTCCAAAGTTTTCTACAAAGGAAGTTTCAGAATTCCACATGGGTGAGGCTTAAGGGTGGTGACTTAGGGTGGGGTGGGGACAGCTAAGGGACTTGTTCTGAAGCTGCATTTGCAGAGCCAATACATTATTTTAAAATTGTTCCAGGCCTGGTGCAGTGGCTCACACCTGTAATCCTGGCACTTTGGGAGTCTGAGGTGGGCGGATTACTTGAGGTCAGGAGTTTGAGACCAGCTGGCCAACATGGTGAAACCCCATCTCTATAATAAATACAAAAATTAGCCAGGCGTGCTGGTGCGCATCTGCAGTCCCAGCTACTCGGGAGGCTGAGGCTGGAGAATTATTTGAACCTGGGAGGCGGAGGCTGCAGTGAGTCAAGATCGCACCACTGTATTCCAGCCTGGGGGACAGAGCAAGACTCTGTCTCAAAAAAAAAAAAAAAAGTTTCCAAAATTTTTTTCCTTTTTATTGATATGTAACTTAGGTATGAGGTGGACACCTCTTAAGTGTACAGCTGATGAATTTTTCCATCTGTATGTAGCCACCACCCAGCTCCACGTATTTTCAGGTCCCCAGCAGGTTCCCTCATGCCCCCTCCCTGCTGATACCCTCCAAAGATAACCAACCACTCTCTCACTTTTATCACCATAGATTATTTCCTCCTGGTTTGGGGCATCATATAAATGAAATCACACAGAATGTACTCATTTCTGTTTGACTTCTTTCAGTCAGCATTATGTTTGTGAGATTCATATACGTGGTTGTATGTATCAGTAATGTTTTTAAAAAAAATTATGATGTAATATTCTATTGTATCAATATATTCTAATATATTCTGTTGATGGGGATTTGGTTTGTTTCTAGTTTTTGTCTAACACAAAAAATGTCTAACACGAACATTCTCATACATGAGCCCATTTTCACTTAGCTTGCAAGTTACAAGGTTTAAAAAAAGCAGTTTCTAAAGATGACTTTATTCACTTTTCCTAAGTTTGAGATAATACCAACTTGTCACCTCAAATATTATTACTGCTACTGATGTGATTTTACTTGGAGAGTGTTAGAGGGGTTGGAGCTGGGGCTGGTGGTGACCCGGGGTAAAGCCCACTGTTGCATGGGGCAGACCACTTCTCTCCCCAGGCACAAGGTCCCTGAGGGGTCTTGGTGTAACATGGAGGGACATGTAAGTAACATTCTGGGTGTGTATGAGCTATTTCTCCTGTTCTTCTCTACTTGAGGACCTGCCCCTTTGCCTTTTATGCTTTACTAGTCTTAGCTATTATTTCTGTAGGGGCAGAAAGGGGTGATCCCTTCCTGACCCATCATAAGGGTTATGGCCAATACTCCTATAATAAAAGACAGATTAACAAGAGAAAAGCATAATACATTTATTTAATCAAAGTTTTAGGTGACATGGGAGCCTTCAGAAATGAAGACCCAAGGACCCAGGGGAAAACTATTTTTATGCTTAGATTTGATGAAGAATGAACAGCTGTGCAGAAATGTAATTGAACAAAAGGAGTATCATCTAATGGTCACAGACTGGGACTGGGGGGATCCCAGCAAGGCCTGGCCATATTCTTCTTGGTCTCTCTGTACAGCATTCCTTCCTCCCAGGTATAGGGCAGAACCTCTTCTGGAATGAGGGTCTTATAACCTACTATCAGATGAGATAGGTCAGAAAATTTCTTTTCCTTTTTTTTTTTTTGAGACAGTTTCTCACTGTCGCACAGGCTGGAGTGCAGTGGCACGATCTTGGCTCACTGCAACCTCTGCCTCCCAGGTTCAAGCTATTCTCCTGCCTCAGCCTCCCGAGTAGCTGGGATTACAGGCACACGCCACCAAGCCCGCCAAATTTTTTTTTGTATTTTTAGTAGAGACGGGGTCTCACCATGTTGGCCAGGTTGGTCTTGAATTCCTGACCACAGGTGACCCACCAGCCTTGGCCTCCCAAAGTGCTGGGATTATGGGCGTGAGCCACTGGGCCCAACCTTCTTCTCATTCTTTTAACCTTATTATCTCTTGTGTCAGTGTGGGTTTCCCTTTTAGCCCCTGCTCCTTTCTTTTTCTCTGTGTTGCCCTTTCTCTCAGGGTCCTTTTTGCTTCCTGTTGTCTCTTTCTGCTTCTCTAATGGTATGAGCTGATGGACTGGGACCCCAGCTGAGCTATATTAAAATATAAAATGTTATTACAAGGCCAGGAGCAGTGGCACATGCCTGTCATCCCAGCACTTTGGGAGGCTGAGGCGAGCAGATCACAAGGTCAGGAGATAGAGACAATCCTGGCTAATACGGTGAAACTCCATCACTGCTAAAAATACAAAAAATTAGCCGAGCATGGTGGCACGCGCCTGTAATCCTAGCTACTAGGGAAGCTGAGGCAGGAGAACTGCTTGAACCCAGGAGGCGGAGGTTGCAGTGAGCCGAGATCGTGCCACTGCCCTCCAGCCTGGGCAACAAAGTGAGACTCCATTTCAAACAAACCAACCAAAAAACAAAACAAAACAAAACAAGCAAACAAAAAAAGGTATTGCAATTAACAGTGAGACACAGAGAGAAATTTAAATTAAAGAGGAAGAATGGGACATTGAAAGACAAAAAAGGGAAGGCAAGAAGGGTGATGGGGAGACATGAGAGACACAGAGGAAGGAAGGGTAAGACTGGGCTGAGGCTCAGTGTCACGTGCATGTGAGATATGCGAAGGATGCTCCTTGAGATGGGCCAATCTTGGTTTCAATCTCAGTTTCGGAGGTTGTATGAATTTGGTTTCTTTCTTGGGCAGGCCAGCAGTTGGTTTGGGACTTTCCCTGGGTGGGAGAGCTGATGACTGGAGTCTTGTGCCCCAGACTCAGGGAAATACAGTCTTTATAGTGGTCTTTGTGGAGAAACTAGTGAAATCTCTGAAGCCTCCAAATGAGACTGAAATGACATTAGCTTCAAACTTGAACTTAGCCTCAAAACCTGAATTGGGATTTAATACCAACATCAACCCTAACCCAAATTTAACCTCAACCCAAATCACAACTCAAACTCAACCCCAACTGTAACCCTAACCTCAAATCTAAACACATCCCAATTAATAACCCCCTAAATAAAACTTCTCCTCTACCCCAACCCAACCCTGTTTCTAGGGCTAATCTTGAAACCAGTTTACCACCACTCCTAACACTAAACTTAAATCTGACTCTAAATGTAAGTCCAATCTGAGCCACAAGCCTAAAGTTGAACTTTATCCTGCTTTATGAATTATTCATCCATTCCTCCATTTAGTGAGTATCTGCGTGCCTAACACATGCTGGGCATTGTCCTAAGGCAGGAGGGACATGGAGGCAAAGGGATCAGAGAAGGTACCAGCACCTGTGGAGCTTGTATTCCAGTGAGGCCAGACGGAAAAGAAAGAAACTGAAGAAGAAATTGGTACTATGAGAAAATAAGACAGGCTGATGTTGTAAGAGTGGCAGGGAGCTACTTTTAAATACAGTAGTCAGCAAAATCCTCTTTGAGTGTTTGGGTGGCACTGGAGCTGAGACCCAAATGACAAAAAATAGTGACCAGGTAAAAGTTTGGGAGCAAAGCATTTCAGGTAAAGGGAGCAGCTACTGCAAAGGCTGGAAGGCGGAACCAAGCTGGGGGTGTTGACGACAAACAGAAGGCCAGTGTGGCTGGAGCAGAGAGAGAGACTGGGAGGCGGGTGGGAGATGAGGTCAGAGAGGAGGGCAGGGGCCAGGTCATGCAGGGCCATGCAAGAAGGGTAAAGCCTCTAGATTTCATCCAGCCACAGGAAGCCTTTAAAGGTCGTCAGAGTGTGTGGTGCGTGCGTGTGTGTGTGTGTGTGTGTGTTGCAGGGGAGAGAGGGGGAGGGAGAGAGAGAGAGAGAGAGAGAAGAGGGAGGTGAGCAGAGGTGATTGGATTTTTTTTTCTTTTGACATGGTGTCTTGCTCTGTGGCCTAGGCTGGAGTGCAGTGGCACCATCATAGCCCACTGCAACCTCAAAACCATGGGCTCAAGTCATCCTTCCACCTCAGCTTCCCAAGTATCTAGGACTACAGGTGTGTGCCACTGTGCCTGGCTAATTTTAAAAAATATTTTAAAATTTTTGTTGAGACAGGGTCTATGCTGCTCAGGCTGGTCTCGAACTCCTGGTTTCAAGTGATCTGCCCATCTTGGCCTCCCAAAGTTTTTTTTTGTTAGTTTGAGAGGCGGTTTCGCTCGTTGCCCAGGCTGGAGTGCAATGACTGATCTCATCTCACTGCAACCTCTGCCTCCTGGGTTCAAGCGATTCTCCTGCTTCAGCCTCCCAAGTAGCTGGGATTACAGGTGCATGCCACCATTCCCGGCTAATTTTTTGTATTTAGTAGAGATGGGGTTTCACCATGTTAGTCAGGCTGATCTCAAACTCCTGACCTCAGGTGATCCGCCTGCCTCAGCCTCCCAAAGTTTTGGGATTACAGGTGTGAGCCACCATGCTGGGCCAGCCTCCCAAAGTTTTGGGATTACAGGCATGAGTCACCACACTGGCCCTGGATTTTTTTTCTTTCTTTTTTTTGGAGACGGAGTCTCACTCTGTTGCCCAGGCTGGAGTGCAATGGCGTAATCTCAGCTCACTGCAACCTCTGCTGCCCGGGTTCAAACGATTCTCCTGTCTTAGCCTCCTGAGTAGCTGGGATTATAGGTGCATGCCACCATGCCTGGCTAATTTTTGTACTTTTAGTAGAGAAAGTACACCATCTTGGCCAGGCTGGTCTCGAACTCCTGACCTCAGGCGATCCACTTGCGTCGGCCTCCCAAAGTGCTGGGATTACAGGCGTGAGACACCGCACCCAGCCTTTTTTTTTTTTTTTTCTTTTAAGACAGAATCGCTCTGTCACCCAGGCTGGAGTGCAGTGGCACAATCTCGGCTCACTGCAACCTCTGCCTCCCAGGTTTAAGCAATCCACCTATGTCAGTCTCCCAAGTAGCTGGGATTATAGGTGCATGTCACCATGCCTGGCTAATTTTTGTACTTTTAGTATAGAAAGTACACCATGTTGGCCAGGCTGGTCTTGAACTCCTGACCTCAAGTGATCCGCCTGCCTCAGCCTCCCGAAGTGCTGGAATTACAGACATGTGCCACTGCACCCGGCCTGGTTTTTTTTTTCTAAGAGATGGAGTCTCACTTTTCTGCCCAGGTTGGAGTGCAATGGCACCATCATAGCTCACTGCAGCCTTCAACTCTTGGCCTCAGGCAATCCTTGCACCTTAGCCTCGCAAAGTGTTGGGATTACAGGCATGAGCCACTGAGCCTTGCCTGGACTTTTTTTTTTTTTTGAGATGGCGTCTCGCTCTGTTGCCCAGGTTGGAGTGCTACGGCATGATCTTGGCTCACTGCAACTTCCACCTCCCAGGTTCAAGCGATTCTCTTGCCTCGGCCCCCCGAGTAGCTGGGATTACAGGCATGCGCCACCGTGCCTGGCTAATTTTGGTATTTTTAGTAGAGATAGGGTTTCATCATGTTGGGCAGGCTGGTCTTGAACTCCTGACCTCGTGATCCACCTACCTCGGCCCCCCAAAGTGCTGGGATTATAGGCATAGCCAACGCGCCCAGCCTGGACTTGTTTTTAAAAGATCACTGTGGCTCCTGTGTTTAGGCTGGCTGGTAGGAGACAGGTGGCAGTGGCATTGATGGTGAAGAGAAAATAGTGGCAGCCATGGAGATGGAGAGAAGTAGACAAGTTTGGGATATATTATACATTCCAGGGGTAGAAACAACAGGACTAGATGATGGATTGATGGGTGGGAGATGTAGATACTGGGAGAGAAGCAGGATTCTGATGGATGGAAAAACTAAAAAATTCTATTTTGGGTGTGGTAAGTCTAAGTCTATTAGACATGCAAGTAGAGATGTCACTGGGCAGATACACATCTGGATTTCAGGGGCAAGGTCCAAGCTAGAGAAAGAAACCTGGGCATGGTCAGCATGAGGATGGTGTTTAAAGCCATGGAACTTATCTTGTGCATCCCTATAAGACCCCTTTGAGGCACTTGTTTCCCCTCACAATGGATGCAGTGCATCTTCCATTCTGAATTCCAGAGGCAACAACCTCCTGCTCCTAGAAGCTAAACTCTCCAGACTTAGTCTTCTGAATTCCCACTGGGATTTAACCTCCCTGGATTCAATTCCCTACCCCACAAGGACCCTTCTACCAATCCATTTCACAATATTTGGTGGAACTCTTCACATTTTCAAATCCTGTCTTCTATGTTTGAAAGCATTTTCCTCTGGGCATTTTGAAACCTGGCTTTCCCCTAATGATGCTACTCCTCTCTGTGGTGAAGGTTGCTCTTTCTTCGACCTCCATCACTAGGGGAATGAAGGCAGAAGAGAGGGGTCGTTATTTTCTCTCCCCCAGACCACTGATAAACTCCTCCTCATCTCCCAAAGCACGTGCCTTTTGCATTTGCCATGCTCTTCCTGTCTTCACAGCACAATCTTATCCATCAAAATATTTATTATGCTCTTAACAACTTGTATAACTAGCTCAGTCTTTCTCCACATCTTATCCCTACCATCATCCTTGTTTGTTTGTTTTTTGAGACAAGGTATTGCTCTGTCACCCAGGCTGGAGTGCAGTGGCGTGATCTTGGCTCACTGCAGCCTCGACCTCCTGGGCTCAAGTGATCCTCCCACGTCAGCCTCCTGAGTAGCTAGGACTACAGGCGCATACCACCATGCCCGGCTAAGTTTTGTATTTTTTTTTTTTTCCAGAGATAGGGTTTTGCTATGTTGCCTAGGCTGGTCTTGAACTCCTGAGCTCAAGCAATCCACCCGCCTCAGCCTCCCAAAGTGCTGGGATTACAGGCATGACCCACCGCACCCGGCCTCCTACCACCATCTTTAGTGACTTTAAAAGCCACAAAGATCGGCTGGGCGCAGTGGCTCACACTTGTAATCCCAGCACTTTGGGAGGCTGAGGCGGGTGGATCACGAGGTCAGGAGATCGAGACCATCCTGGCTAACAAGGTGAAATCCCGTCTCTACTAAAAATACAAAAACAAAATTAGCTGGGCGTGGTGGTGGGTGCCTGTAGTCCCAGCTACTCGGAAGGCTGAGGCGAGAGAATGGCATTAACCCGGGAGGCGATCTTGCAGTGAGCCCAGATCACACCACTGCACTCCAGCCTGGGTGACAGAGCGAGACTTCGTCTCAGAGGAAAAAAATAAAAATAAAAAAAGAAGCCACACAGATCAGATGAGTCTTACAGTCTGGCCTCTCAATTCTCCAAGTTTCTCAAGTCTACTGGTTTTACAGCCTCTTCTTCCCTCCTCCATTTTAGCCACCCAGGAGTAAGGTTGTACCTCAAACCCCAGCATCACTTGGAAGAATTATGCCTTCAAGATCTTGATCTCTGAATTACCCTTCTCATCACAACCACTCACTTTTCACATCTCCCACTCTCTGCCTCCCCTTGAATCAGTTCTTTATTCTTACCAAGACTTCCGGCTGCTTCTGCTTTCCTGGTTTTGCTTGTTGATTTAACATGTACTGCATGGTCAACAATTTCAACTCCACTTTGTCTGCATTTTAGAATCTCTTACCGCCGGGCACCGTAGCTCACACCTGTAATCCCAGCACTTTGGGAGGCCAAGGTGGGCGGATCACCTGAGGTCAGGAGTTCGAGACCAGCCCGGCCAATGTGGTGAAGCCCCATCTCTACTAAAAATACAAAAATTAGCTGGGCGTGATGGTGGGCAACTGTAATCCCAGCTACTCTGGAGGCTGAGGGAGGAGAATCGCTTGAACCCGGGAGGCAGAGGTTGCAGGGAACCAAGATTGAGCCATTGCACTCCAGCCTGGGCAACAAGAGTGAAACTCTGTCTCAAAAATTGACTTGGGTAAACTAAGTGGTCTCATTCTTGGGGCTTTGTCTTAGGCTGCCAAGCGCTGCAGTAGACAGCTGAGTCACCATAAGAGGCCTATAACTAATCCTGGCCAGCTAATCTCAGAGAGTCATCAGTGTTCTTGGACACAACTTTTACTCATTCTTTGTTGACTCCCCATTATACTCCTGTGCGTGATGTTCTAAATCTCCGTGCCTCTGATGTTCTTCACTCTCATCTATTAATATTTCATTGAGCTTAAGGCCATCAAGTGTGGATCTCACTTCCCTCTTTTTCCTTAATTTTGTTATATTTAATCTTTCCTTACATACTGACTCACAGTACTTTTTCTTGTTTCCAAGACTGATCCTTTTATCTGTACTCTATCCCACTTCCTCTATCTTTACTATATTCTCTCCCCACTTCTTGCTTATGTTTTCACTATCTCTCCCTTTCTTGTTTGTTTTTGGGATAGGCTTGCTCTGTTGCCCAGGCTGGAGTGCAGTGGCGCGATCTCGGCTCACTGCAACCTCTACCTCTCGGGTTCAAGTGATTCTCCTGCCTCAGCCTCCTGAGTAGCTGGGGTTACAGGTGTGTGCCACCACGCCCAGCTAATTTTTGTATTTTTAGTAAAGACAGCATTTCACTATGTTGGCTAGGTTGGTTTTGAACTCCTGATATCTATAGTCTGCCCACCTCAGCCTCCCAAAGCGCTGGGATTACAAGGGTGAGCCACCGCACCTGGGCTTTTTTTTTTTTTTTTTGAGACTGAGTCTCGCTCTGTCACCCAGGCTGGAGTGCAGTGGTGTGATCTCGGCTCACTGCAACCTCTGCCTCCTGAGTTCAAGCGATTCTCCCACCTCAGTGAATAGCTGGGACCACAGGCATGTGCCACCACGCCTGGCTAATTTTTGTATCTTTCGTAGAGATGCGGTTTTGCCATGTTGGCCATACTAGTCTTGAACCCCTGGCCTCAAGTGATCTGCCCACCTTGGCCTCCCACAGTGCTGGGATTACAGGTGTGAGCCACTGCACCTGGCCTATCTTTGTCTCTTTAAGCATCTTCATTTTACCTTCAATTTTATTTCTTGAAAATAAACAACAAAAAAGATCCTTCCTTGGAATATTTCTCCCTCAAATGTCCAGTCTATCTCACCTTCCGTTTTCGTGTGATGTCTCAAAAGACTAGCCCCCTTAACGAACCACTTTTTCAGGAACTGGTAAAATTTCCCTCAACTGTAAAATCTGTGGGTAGAACTAAGAGATGATTCTCAGTTATTCTGTGTTCACCATTCTGACCTCATGCCCACCACCTCCTTTTCCTCACCTCCCACTCATTCCTCAACCTATGTAAAGTGATTTCTGCCCCTCTATTAAATGGAAACGGTTTTCTCAAAATTTGTAATCGTCTAGTTCCTGAACCCAACAATCTTTTCAACCCTCATTTACTAGACCTCTTTGAAGCCTCAAACATGGCTGCCCTGTCTCTGCTTGGCATCCCCCGCCCCCCGTGCCCTACTTCTCTGACTGCTCCCCAACCTCTCCTTTATTGGTTCTCTTCCTTTGATCATGCTCAGGGCTCTTCTGGTCACTCCGCCCCCTCCCTTGAAGATCCTGTCCACTCAAAGGCTCAACCTCTACTGGGAAGGGAATGATGCCCAAATCTGTTCCTCCAGACCCAACTTCTCTTGAGCTCCAGACCTGCTTTCTGGAAATCTCCACCTGAGAGTCATGCTGGTACCTCAAACCTTCATTGAGCACTTTATTACCCTAAGCAGGCATACCTATACATTATAACTATAATGTATAGTTATTATTTGTATACTGTCTCATTAGACTGCAAGTTCTATGAAGGCAGTGACTTTATTATTTATACCTATTGTCAAGCAGTGCCCTGCTCCTAATAGGTGCTTAATAATTTTTTTTTTTTTTGGATACAGAGTCTTGCTCTGTCACCCAGACTGGAGAGCAGAGGCATGATCTCAGCTCACTGCAACCTCTGCCTCCCGGGTTCAAGTGATTCTTGTGCCTCAGACACCTGAGTAGCTGGGATTACAGGTGCCCACCACCACACCCAGCTAGTTTTTATATTTTTAGTAGAGACGGGGTTTCACCATGTTGGCCAGGCTGGTCTCGAACTCCTGGCCTCAAGTGATCCTCCCAAAGTGCTCCCACCTTGGCCTCCCAAAGTGCTGTGATTACAGGAGTGAGGTGCCTGGCCACCACCACCCACCTTTTGGACAGACGTTGAGAGGATTTGTGGTGTTAGGAAAAGGGCTGGTTAACACACAGTAGGTATTAATTCACAAGATGATGGCCGTTTTCTTACTCCTTGTCTGTACTGCAGCACTCACCTGTTCTCCCTCTTTTTCATCGTCACCTGGACCACTGCCCACAGGATGCAGTCCAATCTCTGACCTTGACTTTCTGTGGTCCTTTCTTCATCACATGTTCCCTCACACCTGTGCTTCTTCTCCCTCAGGACGCTCCTTTCCCAGAACATACTGCATTTTCTGACTTGTCAGGCTCGCTCAAGACGTGTTATTCGCCTATGGAACCTTTCCATCCACCTCCACCTAGTGAACCCATTCATTAGAGCAAGTTCAAATGCTGTCTCCTCAGAGGCTCCCTGGATGCTTTCAAATGGACTTAATCTCCCCTCTTTCTGTAATCATCTTAAAGTTTACTCATCATGCCTTGAATCAGTTAACTAGGTATGGGTCTGCCTCCCCACTAGATTGTAAGCTTGAAGCAGGGTTTAAATTTATCTTTGGGCTACATAATGCTCAGTTGACCTACACTGAACAGAGTCCCTCCCAGATCCTTTTCCTAACTTAATCCAAACCTGCCCCAACCTGAGTCCTCAAACTGACCCTCTTCAATCTCATTATTCTTTTCCAGGCCTGTTCCTCCAATTGAATCCCAATGCATCCTCCACTGAGACTCAACTCCTGGTGCCAGCTCTAGAGAGCAGAGATACACTTCCACCTACCCACTGTTTCATGGCAGGCACTGAGTCACCCCTTGGGAATCCCTGGCCCCTGTCCCTGCCCCCACCATGCTGGACAGGATGCGTGCTGCCTGCCCCAAGGGGTCAGAGGAAGCCAGGGCCTCTAGGGCTCAGTATTTTTATCAGCCTAGGAAACAAGAGACACAGAAGCGGAAACCATGTGGTCAGAGAAAGTGAACAGCCCTTATCTCAGGGGAACCCCCACCAGGGCTGGGGGCCAGACACCAGGAAGGGACGTTGAAAAGACTGTGGTCCGGTGGACCCAGGTTTCAGGGCTTATTTTGCTTTGGTTTTATGTAACTCTTGCAGAAGGGGAAATGATGTGCTTAAAAACCAGTGAGAAATCTCCTGGGTGGAGGAGCAAATTTGGTCACCAGAGTTTTCTGTAATTTACTTCTCAACCTCCAGCTTAGGGATCCTAACCCCAACTCCCCCCAAGGCCAAACCTGGACTCTTTGCATGCCACTTCCGAAAAGCTCCAGCCTGTGAGAGGAACCGGACGCCAGGGTCACACACAGCTTGAAGTCTCTTCTCTGAATCACAGCAGCTTCCTCTCACAGGATCTTTCTCACCAGCCCTTCCCCCTCCTGCACCCTGAACATCTGCCTGGTCCTTCAGAGGCCTTGGTCTCTTCCGAACTTCAGGCTGTCTTATTCAAGGATCTCATGCCCACCCATGTTCCCGTGTTCCCAGAGGCGTGCCCTCCCTGTCTTCTACTGCCTTCCACTTCCACTCCTGGGATTCTCCTGTAGAGAACTGGGCTCAAAACCTGAAAGATAAGTTTCTGATTGATAAGATGCTCTGGTGTAACTATGCAGACAGTGCACTCACCAGCACATGTCTGTACTCTCCTTGCAGCCCTGTCCTTTCTTTTTGCCAAGTTCCCAGTTGTGTCCTGGGCGATGGTAGTGGGGTCTACCTATCTTAGTTTCCAGGGAGCCCCCCTCTCTCCTCCGTGGGAATCCCAGACTCTCCCTCCACCTCTCAGGACTTCAACTACTGGTTCTTGGAAAAGGAAATGTTTATAGGGAAGGCCATGCCTGGGCTGCCCAGAGATGAACTCAGGTTTAGGATGGGGCAGCAGCTGAATGGCGGAGATGAGGATTGGGGCCCTGGAGGAAGAGAGATACAACTGACAAGCTAGAGGGCAGAGATGGATGGAGCCAGCAGCCTGGCTGGCTTTGGGTGTGGAGCTCCAGTTGCCCAAGAACAGACAACCCATGTTACATAATTTTGCTCTTTCCACCTCCTTCCCCTGCTCCTAATTTTAGCAACTGAAATTCCACTCCCCCACAGGGCTCTTCCTCCAGCCATTCTGCTTGTATTCCCCATCCTCCCCCAGCCTCCTCATGGCCCCCCAGCGCCGGCTACCCCCAACTCGCTCATTCAGTGACTCAGCAAAGGGAAAGCCCTGTGTTGGGGGAAGGGGGTGTTAAGTGGGGAGGAGGATGTGGTTCAGCTTGGGGAGCCAGGGAGGGGAGGGAAACTGGTTTTGTTCCCCTTTTTGCCTCTGTTCGCATCTATTTCTCCAGCCACAGATTGCAGGGTGGACAAGACCCCAGTGTAGGGAGTGGAGTGAGACTGGATGGCAAACTGGGCCTTCTTAGGGCTGAACTGAGGGGGCATGCAGAGGCTTCTTGCCTCCAGCTCAGAGCCCGTGTTAGCGTGTGCGTGTGTGTTGCAGGTGTGTGGGAGCTGTGGGTTTCAGCAGGCGGGGCGGGAAAGGAGATGTCATGGGTGATGAAAACCACAGCAATGGAAAAAGACAGAGGAGACACTGGGAGTGAGATGTGGAACCAGGTCTTATTAGGAAACGGCAGAGTCAAGGAGCAGTGGTGGCGGCCCGCACCCCCCACCCCCACTTGTTACAACTTTCGCTCCCACCCATATCCTCTGCTGAGCAGCACCTGGCTCTTCCTTGTGGTCCCCATCCTTTCCCTTACCCTTCCTTCTGCCTCATCCTGAGGCTGCAGCCCCGAAGTTTCTTGCTTCTTCCCTAGGGTCACTTGAGGGCCTCTGCATGGCGATTCAGGGCCTGAGAAAGGGCTGTCACTGCTCCCATCACACGGCCCAGCTCCCAGGTCTCAATCTGGCTTCGGAATCGCTGCAGGAAGCGGTCAGGGTGCCAGCGGACCTGCTGGACCCTCAAGTACCTCCTCAGAGCCCCCTGTTCCTCCAAAGGGGGGCCCCTGGCCACCAGGGCTGCAGCCATGGCCTCTGGGTCCCCTCCCCCAGGGCAGGGCCAGGGCACATCACCAAATCGCCAGAGGCTGCCCCTCCCCGCTCCTCTGGGGTGCTCTTCCCTGGGCCCGGCCCTGGTTGGCTTGGGTTCTCGGTCCCCTAGAGCCTCCTGCGCCCTCCTGGCTCGGCTCTCACGCAGCTCTTCCTCCTTGGCCCGGGCTCGCTCCCTGAAGAGCCGCTGCTCCTCCTCCTGCTGTCGCCAGCTCTGGCTGGAGCCCTCAGCACGTGGGGGTCGACAGGATCCCTCTGCTTCTCGCTGCTGCTGCTGGCACTTCTGGGCATGTTCCCGGGCCAGGCGATCTGACCAGGCTGAGAAGGACTCAGGTTCCTGGGTTTCATGGGAGGCATCACCTGTTTGGGAGGGTGGGATGGGGGTAGTTGGAGAGAGGCTGTGAGAAGGTGATGGGCCCCAAGAAGCAGGGAAGCACAGAGGAGGGGGCAGAGGAGCCTAGTGTGACGCATTCATGCAGATGGAAAGCAGCCAGTGGGGAAGGGCAGCTGTGGATAGCAGTGGACTTCTCACCTTCAAACCTCCCCATGACTTCCTGCCACTCGTCCTCCAGCTCACCCTGGAGCTTCTGTCTCCATTCCCGCTCCTTGGAGGCATCATCTTCTTCCTCCTCTTCAGCAGAATCCCAGGGGGGTCCCCAGCCCAAAATTTGGCCAGGGGTCTCCCCATCCTTATTCTTTATTCCCATGGCGGAGGGACAGCGGCTTAGCAGCGGGAGGAAGAAATCGGTGTAGGCTGTTGGTGGGAGAGCAGGGAGCAGAAGTTAGCTGGGACTCCCACTCCTCGGCAGAGCTGCCATCTTGAATCCTGCTGGTCACTCACTCCCTTGGTCTTAAAGCAATGGAAGGGTGGCTCACATGGATGCCTCCTGGGTATTAGGAAATAACCATCACTGATAAATACAGACTGATAGTTTACCACATGCATGGTAAGTGTGGTAGTTTAAAATATTCTCGGCCAGGCGCGGTGGCTCACGCCTGTAATCCCAGCACTTTGGGAGTCCGAGGCGGGCGGATCACGAGGTCAGGAGATCAAGACCATCCTGGCTAACATGGTGAAATCCCATCTCTACTAAAAAATACAAAAAATTAGCCAGGCCTGGTGGCGGGCGCCTGCAGTCCCAGCTACTCGGCAGGCTGAGGCAGGAGAATGATGTGAACCCGGGAGGTGGAGCTTGTAGTAAGCCGAGATCGTGCCACTGCACTCCAGCCTAGGTGACAGAGCAAGACTCCGTCTCAAAAAAAAAAAAAAAAAATTCTTACTTGTGTCTCCACAAACTATTTCAGCATCCTAGAAGTTCTACCATGCCAACTGACATTTTCTGACCTGCCTCCAGCCACCAAGGCAGTGCCCAAATTCTTTGACTATGTATTCCACTTTTCACTTAAAAATATTGTCACTATATAAATCCCTTATTTTCTCACCTGAAACCATATATCAGACTGGGAAAATATCTGAATGCTCTACTCTGGGCCATTAATAAATACACAAATATGTAATACTTATCTTTTATTATCACTTATCAATAAACTGAGTAAAATAAATGTTTTCAGGGGAATTTCTCTCAGCCAGCCTTACCAGGGGATGATGGGAGAGGGGTGGGGAGGTGAACCGGCAACAACTATGGCCGGCGGCAGAGCAAGCTCTTTCCAAATGACTGCTGACCTAGGGCAGGGGAAAGGGAGTGGAGTGTGACAGAGGGTCTCACCCATGGGCTGAGAGAAAACAGGAGAGGAACCGACGTTCCTGAACTCCCCTTTTCTTCAGTCCCAACCTTGCTGCATCTGGCCCAAGGTTAGCTGAGTGCCATGCTACTTCCTTCACTGCCAACCCAGGCATCCTGGCCAGGCCCACCTGCTGTGGCCACCAACCACCTCTTTCACTTGGGGGATAGAAGAAGGGGAGGGAGGCAGCCTTCCTTCCTGTGGACCTACTTTCTTTCCCCGGGGTAAGAGGAAATGGGCTAGCAGTCCTTAAATCTTTATTTGGTAGTGCTGGAAAGTACTGTTTACCTGGCAGAAAGCTGGAATAGGGGAAGGCAAGGCCAGGAAGGCAAGAAGACAGAATGGCCCAGGTGTGGCTGGCGAAGGCCCACCATCCCTACCCAAATCACATCAGGGTTGGTGGGGGGGGCACTTCTCCCTAGTGCTGCTGTGACCTGTCACAGACCCTCTCAACTTGTCCCACCCAGAAAGTACCTGGTCCTGTCTCTCATTCGCTTGTTCCCCACCTGAGCTCAGGTGGTGAGCATGGTGAGTGCTCAGGCTTGCATGGGAGGTTTACATTCATAGGTTTTAAGGAGTAGGGCCTCCAACTATAAAAACATAATATTAAACAGCCACTACAACTGAGGCATGTGTTTGAAAAAAGCTGGCTACAAAACTGTAGAGAGGATCAGATGTGGCCAGGCACGGTGGCTCACGCCTGTAATCCCAGCACTTTGGGAGGCTGGGGGGGGGGGACAATGGATCACAAGGTCAGGAGTTCAATACCAGCCTGGCCAAGATGGTGAAAACCCGTCTTTACTAAAACAAACAAACAAAATATATATATAATTATATTTTATATTATATATAAAATTAGCCAGGCGTGGTGGCTGACGCCTGTAATCCCAGCTACTTGGGAGGTTGAGGCAGAGAACTGCTTGAACCTGGGAGGCGGAGGTTGCAGTGAGCCGAGATCGCGCCTCTGCATTCCAGCCTGGGTGACAGGGTGAGACTCTATCTCAAAAAAAAAAAAAAAAAAAAAAAAGAGAGAGAGAGAGAGGATCAGATAATAACTGTCTAAAACAAGAGACCAAATCCTATGGTTGGAAAAAAAGAGGCCGGGCGTGGTGGCTCATGGCCTGTAATCCCAGCACTTTGGGAGGCTGAGGCGGGTGGATCACCTGAGGTCAGGAGTTCGAGACCAGCCTGGCCAACATGGTGAAACCCTGTCTCTACTAAAAATACAAAAATTAGCCAGGCGTGGTAGCATGTGCCTGTAATCCCAGCTACTTGGGAGGCTGAGTCAGGAGAATCACTTGAACCTGGAAGGCAGAGGTTGCAGTGAGCTGAGATCATGCCAGTGCACTCCAGCCTGGGCAACAGAGGGAGACTCCCATCTCAAAAAAAAAAAAAAAAAAAGAAAAAAAATAGACTGGCAAAAAATATGTAAAAATTCTAGCCTATGGGTGGTGGGGCTGTAGGTGGCTTTTCCCCCAATTTTATTTGACATTTTAATGTGAAAGGGATATAATTAAGTTGAAATTTTCTTTTTAAAGAAGGACGAACAAATTTGATAACTATTAACAGTGTACTGTGATCCCTTCCAGTCCCACCTTGGTGTACCTAAAAGCATACATATGACACATTTATTTGGAGATATGTAACCATACTACAAATATTGCTTGGCAACTTGCTTCTTTCATTTAACATCTCATTTATATTTTTCCACAGGAATATATACAGTCTACCTCATACTTTTTGACGACTTTATAATTAGTGTTCCACTGTGTGTACAAAACAAATCTCCTTACCCCAATATCGATAGACTTTGTTTCAAAAAATGTTCAGCCTCATGAGTATCTTACAGTCTTTCTGTGGGGGTAGATTTTCATAAGTGGAATTTCTGAGTCAAAGGACATGCGCAATTTGGTCAAACTGCTCTCAATAAGTTTGTGCCAATATACAAGTGTGCCTATGTCTTCCTTTACCAAAATTGAATATCATCAACCCTTTTAATTTTGCCAGTTGGATAGATTAAAAAATTATTTTATTAACAATGTTTTTTTCTTTTTCATGTCTTTTGGCTATTTGTATTTTTTGTGAATGAATTGCTCATATTCTTTATCCACTTTTTCTTTGGAAATTATATATATTGATATGAGGGTTCTATATACTGTATGTGTTATACATATTGCAAACATTTTCTTCTATCTATCTTTAAAAAAGCTTTTTTTTTCTTTTTGAGACAAGGTCTCACCCTGTTGCCCAGGCTGCAGTGCGGTGGCATGATCTTGCTCACTGCAAACTCTGCCCCACCTGGGCTCAAGCGATCCTCCCACCTCAGCCTCCTGAGTAACTGGGACTACAGGACGACAGCCACGTACCACCACGCCTGGCTAATTTTGTATTTTTTGTACAGACCAGGTCTCACTGTGTTGTTCAGGCTGGTCTTGAACTCCTGGCTCAAGTGATCTGCCTACCTTGGCATCCCAAAGTGTGGGATTACAGGTGTGAGCTACCGCACCCGGCCTAAAATTTTCATGTAGTTAAATCTATATCAATATATTATTTTCTGACTTTTTATTTCACTTCACTCTTAGGAAGGCTCTATTTTAAGATTATAAAACATTCTCTGCATTTTCTTCTACTACTTTAGATGTATACTCATTTTTATTTTTAGAAATTAAAAAACTCGGCCAGGCGCGGTGGCTCATGCCTGTAATCCCAGCACTCTGGGAGCCCAAGGTGGGTGGATCATGAGGTCAGGAGTTCAAGACCAGTCTGGCCAAGATGGTGAAACCCCGTCTCCACTAAAAATACAAAAATTAGCCTGACGTGGTGGCGGATGCCTGTAATCCCAGCTACTTGGGAGGCTGAGGCAGAGAACTGCTTGAACCCGGGAGGCAGAGGTTGCAGTGAGCCAAGATTGCGCGACTGGACTCCAGCCTGGATGACAGAGTGAGACTCTGTCTCAACAACAACAAAAAAGAAATTAAAAAACTCTCAAAAATACAAAGTATAATACAATACACAACCCCATTCCTACCACAGGGTTTGTTAATGTACTGTCATGTTTGTAGTATAATTTATTTTAAGGAAATAAAATCATCACAGATAAAGGTAGTTTACCGTGATACCGCCTTCCAAGTTTCATTCCTCCCCAGGCCATCTGTCCCATGAATTTGGTGTGTACCTTCCTGTCATATTCAGGTATTTAATCTGCTGGAATTTACTTTTTGATTAGGTGTGAGGTGGGACTCTTGTTTTTCCCTAGATGAGCCAAATGTTCCAATATTATTTATAAAATAGTTCACCTGGTCAGGCACAGTGGCTCATACCTGTAATCCCAGCACTTTGGGAAGCTGAGGTGGGTGGATCACCTCAGGTCAGGACAGGAGTTTAAGACCAGCCTGGCCAACACGGTGAAACCCCCATCTCTACAAAAATACAAAAATTAGCTGGGCATGATGGCAGGTGCCCAGCTACTCAGGAGGCTGAGGCAGGAGAATTGCTTGAACCCGGGAGGCGGAGGTTGTAGCAAGCTGAGATTGCGCCATTGCACTCCAGCCTGGGTGACACAGCGAGACTCTGTCTCGGAAAAAAAAAAAAAAAAAAGTTCACCTTTCTCCAGTATTAGAAATGCCCCCTTTAGGCCTGGCGCGGTGGCTCACGCCTCTAATCCCAGCATTTTGGGAGGCCGAGGCGGGCGGATCATGAGGTCAGGAGTTCGAGACCAGCCTGGCCAACACAGTGAAACCCTGTCTCTACTAAAAATACAAAAAATTAGCTGGGCGTGGTGGCGGGCGCCTGTAATCCCAGCTACTTGGGAGGCTGAGGCAGGAGAATGGCTTGAACCTGGGAAGCGGAGCTTGCAGTGAGCCGAGATCACACTACTGCACTCCAGCTTGGGCGACAGAATGAGACTCCATCCCCCACTTCGCCAAAAAAAAAAAAAAAAAAAAAAAAAAGAAATGCCGCCTTTATAGCGATTTACCAGATCAACCGTTCTCAATGCTCTTTAATACGCTGGAGTTTCATACTAAGAAAAATAAACATAAAAACATTTTGGCCAGGCGCTGTGGCTCACGCCTGTAATCCCAACACTTTGGGAGGCTGAGGTGAGCAGATCACAAGGTCAAGAGATCGAGACCATCCTGGCTAACATGGTGAAACCCCGTGTCTACTAAAAATACAAAAAATTAGCCAGGCGTGGTGGCATACGCCTACAGTCCCTACGCCTATAGTCCCAGCTACTTGGGAGGCTGAGGCAGGAGAATCTCTTGAACCTGGGAGGTGGAGGTTGCAGTGAGCCGAGATTGTGCCACTGCACTCCAGCCTGGGCGACAGAATGAGACTCCTTTTCAAACAAAACAAAACAAAACAGAAAACAAAAACAAAACCAAAAGACATTCTGTGGGATGGGCACGGTGGCTCATGCCTATAATCCCAACATTTTGGGAGGCTGAGGTGGGTGGATCACTTGAGGTCAGGAGTTTGAGACCAGCCTGGCCAACATGTTGAAACCCCATCTCTACTAAAAACACAAAAATTAGGTCGGGCATGGTGGCTCATGCCTGTAATCCCAGCACTTTGGGAGGCCGAGGCAGGTGGATCATCTAAGGTCAGGAGTTCGAGAGCAGTCTGGCCAACATGGTGAAACCCCATCTCTATTAAAAATACAAAAGTTAGTCGGGCATGGTGGCAGGCTCCTGTAGTCCCGGCTACTCAGGAGGCTGAGGAAGGAGAATCACTTGAACCCAGGAGGCGGAGGTTGCAGTGAGTCAAGATACTGCCACTGCACTCCAGCCTGGGGAACAGAGGGAGACTCCGTCTCAAAAATAAATAAACAAATAAAAATTTAAAAATTAATAAATAAAAATAAAAAAATTAGCTGGGCATGGTGGTGTGTGCCTGTAATCTCAGCTACTTGGGAGGCTGAAGCAGGAGAATCGCTTGAACCCAGGAAGCAGAAGTTATAGTGAGCCGAGATCATGCCACTGCACTCCAGCCTGGGCGACAAAGCAAGACTCCGTCTCAAAAGGAAAAGAAAAAGGAAGCTGAAAGCTGAATGAGATGGGCCTTTCAACCAAGGAGTTAGAAGGCCATCTGGTGGCAGGGCTGGCAGAGGACCAGGAGTAAATAAGGCCAGAGAGGACACCAGGGTCTGGGAGTGAAGGCACTGAGCTTGGGTCCCCCTTTGGAAGACAATGACCTGAGAGCTGTGAGATTTCAGACAAGTTCCCGAACCTTTTGGGCCCTGCTTTCCTCATCTGTAAATGGGATAATATCAGTCTCACCAGCTTCTTAAAATTCAATACAATGGAGTTGGGTGTGGTGGCTCACGCCTCTAGTCCCGGCACTTTGGGAAGCCGAGGTGGGCAGACTGTTTGAACTCAGGAGATGCAGAACAGCCTGGATAACATAGCAAAACAGTCTCTACCAAAAATACAAACAATTAGCTGGGCATGGTGGTGTGTGCTTGTAGTCCCAGCTACTAGGGAGGCTGAGGTGGGAGGACTGCTTGAGCCCACGAGGTAGAGGCTGCAGTGAGCCATGATTGCACCACTGCACTCCAGGCTGGGAGACAGAATGAGACCCTGTCTCAAAACAAACAAGCAAACAAACAATAAAGGAAATCCCTACCACACTATCAGGGGCATTTTGGCTGAGCGCGGTGGCTCACGCCTGTAATCCCAGCACTTTGGGAGGCTAGGCTGGCAGGTCACCTGAGGTCGGGAGTTTGAGACCAGCCTGACCAACACGGAGAAACCGTCTCTACCAAAAATACAAAATTAGCCGGGCGTGATGGTGCATGCCTGTAATCCCAGCTACTTGGGAGGCTGAGGCAGGAGAATCTCTTGAACCCAGGAGGCAGAGGTTGAGGTGGGCTGAAATCGCGCCATTGCACTCTAGCCTGGGCAACAACAGGGAAACTCCATCTCAAAAAAACAAAACAAAACAAAAAACAAAACTCCCATTTTTGCGAGGCAAATTGGGCTCACAGAGGTAAGCTGCATGTCCCTGTTGATGGCAGAGCTGGGGTCTGGATGCAGGTCTGCTTCGGGGTAATCTGCTCTTTTGCCTTCCAGGGTCCTGCCTCTTACAATATGAGCTGTCAAGTTAGATGCCTGCACTCAGTAAACCTACTCTGTTTTAAGTAAAAACAACAAGAAACAAATCTGAATATGCTAGCCTATCTCAGGTACGTTAAAGGAAATTTTTAAATAGGGGGTTTTTTGACCATTTGGGGGAGTTTTGGGGGAGGGGCCTTCTGTCTATACTTGAGCTGGGGGATGTTAGGGTTGTTCATCTGGATCTAGAGGTTTTCCTGTAATGTTCTTACTCCAGAAGGAAATCTCTAGATGGGGAAAGAAGGTTTCAGCTTTTATTCTAGTAAGCAGGGCTCTACCTATAAAGAGCTGCTTCCACCACTCTTTTTTTTTTTTTTGAGACGGAGTCTTGCTGTGTTGCCCAGGTTGGAATGCAGTAGTGCAATCTCGGCTCACCACAACCTCTGTCTTCCGGGTTCAAGTGATTCTCCTGCCTCAGCCTCCCAAGTAGCTGAGACTACAGGTGTGTGCCACCATGCCTGGCTAATTTTTGTATTTTTAGTACAGATGGGGGTTTCACTATGTTGGTCAGGCTGGTCTCGAACTCCTGACCTCGTGATCTGACTGCCTTGGCCTCCCAAAGTGCTGGGATTACAGGCATGACCCACCGCACCTGGCCTCCACCACTATTATAATATCACCAGGTTCCCCATTTGAATCCTTCAGTGCCAAAGGTTTTGCAGAATTCAAATGTTTTTGGGACTTGATAGGGCTGACCTAAAAGTACACTCACTCTATATTAGGTAGCCCAGGAGGGCCTAGGCAGCCCAAGAACCAAACACATGAGTGTTTCTGCAGGGAAATGTATGAATATTGACATCAGTAGGATGAAAATAAATAATAGTCTTACTTTAGTTCAGATTAGGTTTCTGTCACCAAATGAATTTTGGTGGCAGCCTGATGAAAAATGTTGGTTCTCAGAGTGTTTTTGAGTTTAGAATTGTGGTTAAGGGAGTATGGACCTGTTGATAACAAAAACAGGAACAAGGCCAGGTGTGGTGGCTCACACCTGTAATCCCAGCACTTTGAGAGGCTGAGGTTGGTGGATCACCTGAGGTCAGGCATTCGAGATCAGCTTGTCCAACATGGCGAAAACCCATCTCTTCTAAAAATATAAAAATTAGCTGGGCGTGGTGGCATGCGCCTGTAATCCTAGCTACTTGGGAGGCTGACGCATGAGAATCACTTGAACCTGGGAGGTAGAGGTTGCAGTGAGCCAGGATCGCACCATTGCATTCCAGCCTGGGCAAGAAGAGTGAAACTTCATAAAAAACAAAAACAAAAACAAAAAACAGAGAAACAGGAACAACAATCGCCAGCATATACCAAGTGCTTATCGTGTGTGCCAGGTACTCTAATTATGTACTATGTCAGTTGATTCTCAAAACATATATGGCACAACATGGGTACTCTGAACATGGGCACAATCAATGTACAATGCTATAATGTATAACACAGGACAATGTAGCTGTTAAAAGCATGGACACTCTATCTAGTCCATCTGGGTTATAATCTCTGCTCTACCAGTGAATAACTGTAACTCTGGCAAATGACTTCTCTATGCCCTGTTTCCTCAGCTGGGAAATGGGGGATAATATCAGTACTCACCTCCTAAGATTGTTGTGAGGATTAAATGTGTTACTTTATAAGAAATGTCTGGCACATAGCAAAGGTTGTTATTATTTTAATTTTTACACATGGGCAAACTAAGCCTCAAGTAACCTGTCCAAGAATACGTAGCTATGAAGTGTGGAGCTGGGATTTGGAGCTGGGGTTTGAATCCAGGCAATCTAACTCCAGAGCCTACCTTCTATGCTACTTTTTGGCTACGAGCAAACAATCTGTCAAGAAACAAAGTAGCTACTAATCTAAACAGATGTGAAATTTGAAGACCAGTTGATCTTTGGGGAATGTTGGGTTCTTCAGACAATGGTAGCTCAGTAATGTAAAGGGACAAATGACAGCCACATGCCAACTTGGTTAACTCCTTCCCTAGGTCCTGATGACCAAATAACCAGCTTATTTCTCAACTATTGGTTGGCTTTCATTTCAGGTCTGGTCAGCTGCTTATGACCTTGTTCCCCACTGAGCAGACTCACCATCTGGGCCCTGGCGGGCAGCAGCATGCAGTGCCGTGTCCCCATGGCGGTCCTGGTGGGCAGGGTCAGCCCCGAGCCGAAGCAGCAGGCACAGGGCAGGGGCATCGTGGCGGGCACAGGCCCGGTGCAGTGGTGGGGGCTGCCCAGCATCTACATCGAGGCCTGGGTGTCGCTGGAGGAGGGCCTGGGCCCGGACCAGCCGTCCTGCAGACAAGTAACGACGAAAGCGACGTTCTCGGCGTTGGCGGCGGGAAGTGGAGGCCATGGAACTCTTGGGCTGGGGAAGGAAAAAAGGCAGCAGTCAGGACTTCAGCCTTGGCTGGTCCTTCTCCCTCCATCTCTGACATCCCCTGTTGTTTCTCCCTTTGGTTCCGTCTTTTTTTAATATCTTCAGCAAGAGATGAGGCCTAACCTAACCCTGATCCTTTATCAGATGATAGATTTGAAAAAAAATTTTTTTTGAGGGGGGTGATAGGATCAGAGGTTTAATTTTTTTAATGTAAAATTCGAGAAAAGGGTAAATAATTGGTTTAAGGCTCAGGAGCCCAGGTAAATTTTTAATTTTTAACAAAGAACTTTAAAAAAACCCAACAGGGCCGGATGGGGAAAATTTTTATCAGCAGAAATCTGAGTTTTAAAAAGTCACAGATAATCTCCAATAATGATCTAGAAATTGAATATCATGTACCCGGCAGACAGATGTGGAGGCTTCTTCCTCTGGAACCTGGGGGGAGGGGTTACTCATCAGACCTGCCCCCGCCCCCCCAAGTACCCCCAGAGCCGTAGGCCCAAGGCCTGTGTTTAAGAAGCTCGGAGACGGGAGGCGGGAAGGGCGGAGACACTCCAGGCTGGAGGAAATGGCGCAAGCAGAGACGCAGGTGGAGGACGGAAGTGAACTGTGAGGGGCGTTACCGGATGTCGTTCCGCCCCGACCGGGTAGTTCTTGGCCAGATCTCCCAGGGGAAACTAGGGAACTTAAATTAAAGGGGCCGTCTGAAACCAGAAGACTGGACTGGAGGCGAGGAAAAGGAGGCGAGGGGAGGGGAGGGAGAAAAGAGAGTTATTTGGAGGTTTTTTCCCGCCTCCTCTAACTTGGCAGAGAGAGGAGATGGTTCAGTGATGGACGAAAAGATGAGAAGACAGAGAAAATAGAGGAGATAAAGACAGGATAAAAATCACATTAAACATGGAAAACAAAAACAAAAACCACAGTGGGACAACAACAGGGACAGATCAAAAAAAAGAAAAAATACAGACAAAAGACGGAAGAAGACTATCGTAGGATGGGGCAAGTGAGATGCAAAAATTTGGACTTGAGAAATATGTAGAAAAAGATGGAGATGTTAACAACGGGAGGCAGGGGAGGGGGCGGGATGGTGGAGAGAGAGAGAAAGGTAGAGAGTTAGTTTAGAATTAAGCCCAGAATGCTCTTTTCCCAACACAGGTTGCATGATGACATCCTTACCTTTTCACCGCATTCACAACCCTTTATGCTTCCTCTGTTACCACCAATCAAGTTCTCCTTCTCTCACCTCAGTACTCCCCCGTCTCCGCCCCTGCCTCATCCCTAGACCTTTCCGACTGGGATGGCTAACCTGTTGTAAGCCCGCAGCTTTGGGCCTGGTCTCTGCTGCTCCCAGGCGGCCCCTTTGGGTACTGCCTGAGCAAGAAGTGCTGGAGAGGAGGACCAGTCATCAATAGGAGGATGAGATTGGGAGAGACACTCGGTGCAGGAGGCTGAGTGAGCAGGGGAGCACTAAGACCCAGGGGTAGTGGAGGACTGCAGCAACGAGCTGGAGGAGGAGAAGTAAGCGGTGGGGGGTGGGAGCCATCTGGTACTTTGACAGCATTCAAAACAGCATCGGCCATAACAACAGAAATGGCCAGTCAGTCCCAAGGTATCCAGCAGCTTCTGCAAGCTGAGAAGCGGGCAGCTGAGAAGGTGGCAGATGCCAGAAAGAGTGAGTCTCCTCTTTCCTCCCTTAGGAGTTTGGAAAGAAAATTGGGGGTGGGGGACAGCAAACATTTTGGGAAAACCCAAGGCTGGCGGGAAGACAGCTAGGGTCTGGAGGCTGGTTAGGAGGGAAGAAATGGATGGATATTAGAATCTGGCACCTGGTTGGCTGAGAGAAGGCTGTATAACTTTCTGGAAGGGACTGACTCCTGCTATTACATTGTGTGTGTGTGGGTCCATCCCCACTCACTGTCCTTTCTTCTGCCTCCAGGGAAGGCCCGGCGACTGAAGCAGGCAAAGGAGGAGGCACAGATGGAGGTGGAGCAATACCGCAGAGAGCGAGAGCACGAATTCCAGAGCAAGCAGCAGGCGGTGAGTTGAGGCAGAGTCGGGATGAGACCCCACTGCAAGTTGGTGGGTGCATCTAGTGAGGTGTGTAAGGGTGACTCAACAAGAAAATATGGTGGCAGAGGGCTGAGGCTGAGGGGACCCTGGCAGGGACCACAACATTGGTGAAACTTTGTGATGATATGTAGGAGAGTCTGGGAGTTTTGAAGGCCACATAGAGCTTGTGGGCGGAATGCCACAGTCTGTGTAAAGTATAACATCTATGTGGAGTATGATTAACATTTGTGGTGGAGGGTAGAGTTTTATGGTCATGGATGGTGAGGTGGTGGGGATATTACGGTCTGTTTTAGGATGAAGTTGCATGTTAGGTCTAAGGGGAAAGGGGACTGTGTTGATCTCTTTGGTGTTGGGATATTTCTGTGGGATGGGGGTGGTTTCTGAGAGGGCCTTTCTTCTAGGCTTTGTTTCAGGATCTTTCCCCTCATATGCCTGGACCCTTGTCTGTTTCTGCTTTTCCCTTTCTCTCTTCCACCCCTCTCCCTACCCCCCAGGCCATGGGCTCCCAGGGGAACCTGTCTGCTGAGGTGGAGCAGGCTACAAGGCGCCAGGTGCAGGGCATGCAGAGCTCCCAGCAGAGAAACCGAGAGCGTGTCCTGGCCCAGCTTCTTGGCATGGTCTGCGACGTCAGGCCCCAGGTCCACCCCAACTACCGGATTTCTGCCTAGGGCCACCGTAGGGCCTGACTCCTTCTGCCAGTTCCCTCCCTCAAAGAAATCCTCCAATCAAAATCACCTCCCACCATAATCCCTGTCTTCTTTCCATCCCCTAGAAATCCTGGGAGGCAGGATCCAATAATTTTCCTGTGACACTTATAAATATCCTGCTCACATCTGAATCTCCTTGTTGTTCTTTAACCCTCACTGGGACTTTGTAAACTTCCAAGTCATTCTCACCTAAACCCTCTGTGAAATTTGTAATATGGGGAAGTAGGAATGTGGAAAACATCCTGACTTCAGTGTCTGGCCGATGTGGGTCCCTCTCTTGACCCTGTCACTTGCTGGCTGTGAAACCAGGACAAGCTACTTAACTTGGTAGCCTCGATGTCCTCCTCTGTGAAACTGGGATGATAATAATGCCTACCTTGTGAGGGTTGCTTCAATGATTAGGAATCATTCTGTAAAGTCTAGCACAGTTCCTTGCATGTTGTAGCAGTGATTCAGTAAGTAGCAACCCTGTGATACTATTACCACCACCTGCTCACTGGTCAAAACCTACACAGCTGTTTCCTCACGTCCATCACTGGCTCTCTAATTCCACTTGTTCATTCTGTGACCCTAGTTATTTTCTGAAAAATTGGTTCTTCTCTTTTCCCAGAGACCTTCTGATCTCCAAAAAGAGGAGATGACTACATTTAGCCCCTCTCTTATAATTCCAGGTAGATAACTGCATTTTGTAGCCTCTCTTTGTTTTTCTTTTGCTGATCTTTGTCTTTATTAGATTTTCCTCCTTTCCTATTTCCCCAAAGACTTATCAGATGCTCATTGCTTTCTAAGATCTAAAATGATACTGTGTTCCCTCATATGCATGCCCTTCCTTTCTATATCCTTGACACCTTACTTTCCCATTGTAACAATAAAAAAAGTATCAATAAAATAATTATTGGCAAATAAATTGGTGAGTTGAAGCAGCCTCCTTTTGCCTCATCATTTCTCATTTTCAGTCACTTTGTTTTTTTTTTTTTTGAGATGGAGTTTTGCTCTTGTTGCCCAGGCTGGAATACAATGGCGTGATCTCAGCTCATTGCAACCTCTGCCTCCCAGGTTCAAGCGATTCTCCTGCCTCAGCCTCCCAAGTTGCTGGAATTATGGGTGTGTGCCACCACGCCTGGCTATTTTTTGTATTTTTAGTAGAGATGGGGTTTCGCCATGTTGGTCAGGCTGGTCTCAAACTCCTGACCTCAAGTGATCCACCTGCCTTGGCCTCCCAAAGTGCTGAGATTAGAGGTGTGAGCCACTGTGCCTGGCCTTCAGTCACTTTCTTGTTTTTTGTTTACATATTCCCTAAACAGCCCAAATGGCTATCCTTTGAAACTTCTTGGAGAAACAAGAACAAGTAGTACTTTATTATTTCTCTAAAGTGAGAAACATGGTTCCTCATTTGGGAATCTGAGGACTATAGATCGCAACTGTAGAGAAAAGCTGGAGTGTAGGAGCAAGTGCTCTTTGCCCCTTTACCTTGCATTTTCTTCATAGCACTTACTGCTACTGGTTTTTTGAGACAAGGTCCTGCTGTGTTGCCCAGGCTGGAGTTCCAGCTCACGGCAGCCTTGAACCCCTGGACTCAAATGATCCTCCCACTTCAGCCTCCTGAGTAGCTGGGATTACGGGCGAGTGCCACTATGCCTTGCTAATTTTAAAATTTTTTGTAGAGATGGGGTCTCACTTGCCCAGGCTGGTCTGAAACTCCTGGGCTCAAGCAATCCTTCGGGCTCGGCTTCCTCAAGGGTTGGGTTACAGGCCTGAGCCACTGCACCCTGACCACTTATCGATACTTGACATTGTATTTGTGTTTATGTGTTTTCTTTCCTGTAATGTAAACACTGTGAGAACAGGGCTGTTCACCGTTGTGTCCCCAGATCCTAGGACAACATGTGGCACAAGGGAGGCAGTTGATAAATACTTTTGAATAAATTAAATGATACTTGGGAAAATACCTTCTATGACACCATTCTTGAATTAGTTACTTCATTTGTCACTGAAGACAAGCTTACTTCACCAAGAATTTGAACCAATAAGGTAACCTGCAGTGTATTTACTAACCAGATTCTTTGAGCAGGGAGGCAGAATACAATAGAGAATGAGAGATGTTTGCATCCTGGCTGTAACCTCACCAGCCGTACTGCTTGAGATATGTTGCTTTGCTTCGCTTCTGTCAATAAGATGAGAATAACGGTACCTACTCCTTAGTATTAAATGATTAAGTATGCTAACAGGGAGAGGGCCAAACGTTTGTTGTTTTATTACACAGCAGGACATCAGGTCTTACTTTTGTGGCTCCCCATCTCAAAGACGGGGATAGCAAATGTTTCATTCAGGAAAAAAATCCAGGTTGAACAATGGGGCTGTTGGGGCGGGGCCAAGAACATTCTGCTCGAATTAACAGTATTAATGGGCCGGGCGCGGTGGCTCACGCCTGTAATCCCAGCACTCTGGGAGGCCGAAGTGGGTGGATCACCTGAGGTCATACATGGGTGAAGCCCCGTCTCTACTAAAAAAACAAAAATTTGCTGGGCGTGGTGGCGGGCGCCTGTAATCCTAGCTACTCGGGAGGCTGAGGCAGGAGAATCGCTTGAACCCGGGAAGCAGCGGTTGCAGTGAGCCGAGATCAGGACATTGCACTCCCGCCTGGGCGACAGGGCGAGACTCTGTCTCAAAACAAAAACAAAAACAGTATTAATGGAATGTAGTATAACCCTCAAGCCCTACTATTAACACTTGGGGCCGAATCCAGACCCCGTCTTCCCGCTCGGATTCAGAACACCTTCCTGACTCACTGGCCCTAGGGCATCAGCTACCTCGGACAGCATCCTTTTGGGAAAATACCGCCCACCAGCCCCACGACTGGGAAAGAGTCGGGAAACACCCCCGAGCAATCCAGTTCCCTGAGACTTCCCTCCTCCCTCCCCTCAGCTAGGGCCTGCCGGTTCCTAGTGCGTGCCCAGCAGTCCTCAGGTCACCTTCACTACCGGGCCAAGGACCCCGTGGGAACTCGCAGCCTTCGCCACACTCGTTCCTCGCGCATCCACGGAGGGGTGCCTACAGAGAAGACCTGCGTGGCAAAAACCTAAACGAAGAGATGAGGGGCATGGAGAGGAGTAGGATAAGAGAATAAAGATAACAGTGGGGGGGAGACGTTAGTTTCCTTTATATATTTTGTTACTGGCGGTAGCAGTGAAGTTAGAAACGGTTTTAAAACAAATTTCAGACAGGCATTTTCCAAAGGCAAGCCTGGAGCGCACGGATCTGTATAACCGCGGAAGGCCCTGTTTCCGGTCCCTTGCGCCTGCGCTCTTGCAGCCAAGAAGGCGGGAGGCTGGAGTAGAGGGAAGCCTGCAACCGGAAGTGAAGGCAGATTTCCCTCCTTCGTCGCTGTTGCTGCCGCCATACGCGCTCTCCCTGTTTAGGTAAGCTTTGGCCTTCGCTACAATCCGTTTCCATCTGCGCTTCTCCGCACCCATCCCGTCACATGGGTTCCTGATACCCTTTTCACAGGCGATGGTCTGGTCGCTGGGGCCTAGTTGGTTCGCTATTTCCTTAGCTTGCATCCCTTTCGAGAGCAAAGAGCTCCTGGGGGAAGGAAGGGAAGCTAAGGGGGGACCCAATCCAAGATGGTGTCCTCGGCGCCATTGTGTTCGTTTTGCTCCCTTCTTCCAATGGGTTCTTCTCATATTGGAGGCCTCAGCATCAATGAGAGGCGGTGCTCGGCGTCCCTTGGTCTTGGTATTTGCGGAGGGCGGGGCTCTTCTCACCTTCCTTGTTCTTTCTTGAGCTCTTTTTCGGCCCTCGGTGGGACTGGGAGGAGGAGCTGGTTTCTGGGCCCAGTTGGATTTTTCTCACCTTGACTTGCCCAACTTAATTTGGAGTGCCTTCCAAGTGTTTACGATACGATTGGTGTCATTGTATGTTTCTCCAAAAGGAGTCTCACCTTCGTAGCGTAACAGTGATGTGAGACCACTTGGTAAAGATCCTGTTAAAGCCTGGGCGGGGATTGCCTTTCTCTGTCACCTATTAGCTTTCTTATTGTAGGGTGGAGACATGAATTTTGTTTTTTTGTGGCCGAGCCATTTGTCTTGCACCGCCCCTCCCCCCCATGCTAATTACACAAGGCTTGCTTAAACAGCGGAAGGGAGGATACTGAGAAGTGGGAGGCTGAGAGCTATGGGAGGTGGACGGCGGCCATATGATGTTTTCTTTTCGAAAGGTGAGCGCTTTGCGCAGTGATGACCCTCATCTATCACCCTTGACTGATGGCTGCTGAGTTAGGCATCCATAACGGTGGGATTATAATAGGGAAAGCGGAGTCTTCCTTTGAGGACTTTTCAGGACTCTACTTGTCATCTCCATTTTCCACTTTACTAAGTTATTAGTCATATTTTACCTTTTATTATCTATTCTATTTCCTCACTGTTACTTTCAGATCAAGAATTTATAAGTTGGTCTTCCCCTTCCAACTTTTCTGGTTTCCGCTACTGTGATTGCTAATCTTGTTGGGAACCTCTGTCCTAACCACTTTCCCTGGTACTGCTTTTTCTGTTCTGTTATATTTGCTTTTCGTTTTTATGTTTTGTATCTGTTTTTCTTTCCAGGTAAAAGTTTCCTGGTTTAGGGAAAGTGGGAACTGGGGATGGAAAAGAGGTGGTGAAGGCTGTGCTCGTGATTAAGTCTTGCTTTTTTTTTTCCCCCCTCCAGCTCTTCTGTTAGAAATAGTATCTTTGTTTTCCTTTGCTGTTCCTCAATCCCCTACTCTTCACCCCTTGTTTTCACCTATTTTGCGAGAACCCATCCAGATCCCCCTTCCCTTCTTCCCCTGCCGGCCCAGTTATGGCAGAGAACGATGTGGACAATGAGCTCTTGGACTATGAAGATGATGAGGTGGAGACAGCAGCTGGGGGAGATGGGGCTGAGGCCCCTGCCAAGAAGGATGTCAAGGGCTCCTATGTCTCCATCCACAGCTCTGGCTTTCGTGACTTCCTGCTCAAGCCAGAGTTGCTCCGGGCCATTGTCGACTGTGGCTTTGAGCATCCGTCAGAAGGTAAATTTTCTCTTGGGCATGTAGTGCTCATTGGGCTCTTTAAGGGTACAATACAAAGATGTGTTTGTCGTTGCTCAGGTGGTGGTAAGGGTTTATACTTAAGGCTAGATCAGGGCCAGGTGCAGTGGCTCACGCCTGTAATCCCAGCACTTTGGGAGGCCGAGGCAGGAGGGTGGCCACTTGAGCTCAAAAGTGCAAGAGAAGCCTGGGCAACATAGCGAGACTCCTGTCTCTACAAAACGTTCAGAAATTAAGCAGGTGAAGGTTGAGGCTTCAGTGAGCCGTGATTGCACCACTGTGCACCAGCCGGGGCGACAGTGAGGAAGAAAAAATCGGGATAAGTATCAAAAACAATTTTGGATAGAGGAGGCTTATACAGGCTTATTCTTTCTTTCGTGATAGCACCAAAGTGCTAATGATCCAAAAGTGACTTCCAGGTCTGCCATTCATTCTTGTGACTGGCTTTTCTTGTCTGCTTATTTTTAATTTTGTCACTTGACTTCTAATTTTAAATTTCCAGAAAGGTCCTGCTTGGACCTGTAGTCTCCCTCTGTTGGGCCAGGCCAACTGTGGTCTCTGGAAACCTCTATGACTGGTTTAGAGATGACTGGCTTCTGGGTCAGGTACCAAGTCCTTCATTTTGTCCAGGGTTGTAGTAGTTACGTGACCCGAAGTATAGCAACCTAAGCAGGAGAAGTGGTCTGTGGCAGGTATTCAAATGTCATGAATTGTTACAGATTAAGAAAAATAAGGACAGAGCTAGGATCATTGAAGGTGAGCGGTTGGTAGATGCAAGGGGTTTGTTACTAGGACTGGGAAGGCCTAGATCTGGAGGAGGCTAAAGCTAGGAGGAATTAGGAGAGTCTGATTTTGAGGTGAATGTAATTGAGCAGAGAGAGGTAAAATGGGTCTGGAAGTTGGCAAGAACCAGGTAAATACTAGACTTTGAGAATTGAGTGGTAAGAAATGGGCTTGGCATGGTGAAAAAGGTAGAGTTATCTGGAGACTGAAGTCTAATTTATCTTCCTCCCCCCCCAACTTTTAGTCCAGCATGAGTGCATCCCTCAGGCCATTCTGGGAATGGATGTCCTGTGCCAGGCCAAGTCGGGCATGGGAAAGACAGCAGTGTTTGTCTTGGCCACACTGCAACAGCTGGAGCCAGTTACTGGGCAGGTATATTTGGGGAGAGTGCTGGGGAGGGGATTTTGGTTAGGACTATAAGGGAAGGGTGTTTTTGTCCTAACTACATGATGCTTGCAGAGCCATGAGCACATGACCTCTGTTACCCTTGACAACCTGACAGCTGTGGGGGATGTTCTGTCGCAAGCGTGGGGTTCATGATTTAGATCACAGAATTGAAGTCATTTATTATCGGCCCAGGTGTGTTTTTGTGACAGTCACTTCCCTAGAGGGGATAATGAAGAGCTACATTTACCATATGTCTCCGTATACTTCCTGCCTAAGGTGTCTGTGCTGGTGATGTGTCACACTCGGGAGTTGGCTTTTCAGATCAGCAAGGAATATGAGCGCTTCTCTAAATACATGCCCAATGTCAAGGTAAGCCAAGGTAAAGAGACCTGAGAGTGAGGGTGTGGCAAGTTGGAGGGATAAGAAACTTGTAGGCCAATAGTCTCTTTAATTTTGGAGAAGCTTTAGTTTGCTGTGGTGTAACAGAGTGTTGAGTTCCTATGTAACAGGAGGATTCGTAATTGGGCTATGGATGATGCTTAACACAAGACCACCCTTTTCTTACTACTTTATACTGACTTTGAATCATATCAGTTTAATAATTTTGGGGTATGTGGCAGAGAAAGCCGGAAACTTTAAAACAGCTCCAGTGGTGTGTGAATATTGAGGATTCTGGCCAAGTGCACAATGGCTTACACCTGTAATCTCAGCAGTTTGGGAGGCCAAGGCGTGTGGATTATTTGAGGTCAGGAGTTTAAGACCAATGTGGCCAACAGGATGAAACCCTCTCTCTACTAAAAATGCAAAAATTAGCCGTGCATGGTGGCACACACCTATAGTCCCACCTGCTTGGGAGGCTGAGGCAGGGGAATCGCTTGAACCCAGGAAGCAGAGGTTGTAGTGAGCTGAGATTGTGCCATTACACTCCAGCCTGGGTGGCAGAGTGAGACTCCCATCTCAAAAAAAAAGAAAAAATCTGATTGAAGTTAAGCATTTTTGGCAAGAATCCTTCATAGGTGATGCTGTATCTCCTGTTATGCCACAAATCTGGTCGACTTATGTTAGTTATTTTATTTTATTTTTATTTATTTGTTTTGAGATGGAGTCTCGCTGTGTCCCTCAGGCTGTGAGTGTAGTGGCGCGATCTCAGCTCACTGCAACCTGCGCCTCCCACGTTCAAGCGATTCTCCCGCCTCAACCCCCCGAGTAGCTGGGACTACAGTGTGCCATCATGCCTGGCTAATTTTTGTTTTTTTTTAGTAGTGACAGGGTTTCGCCATGTTGGCCAGGCTGGTCTCGAACTCCTGACCTCAAGTGATCCACCCACCTCGGCCTCCCAAAGTGCTGGGATTACAGGAGTGAGCCACTGCACCTGGCCTCATTAATGATTTTAGATTTACCATAGGATTAGCGTCGTGACAGTCTGATTCCACAGTTGTTCTTTTCCCCCTTGAAACCAGAAAGTAGTTTCTGGTGTTATTTGATACTGTACCAAGGCCCAGATCCCCAAACAACTATTCACCTAATGGTTTTAACATGAAATGATAATATTTAGCCCGAAGCAGTAATTTCATGGGGTTTGTGTGAAAAGAGTTTGAGATTCTGGGTTTATTTAGGAAACCTTAATGTTCCATGTGTTTTTTGTGGTACTTTACACTAATCTGGTGATTTCTTGCTGTCCTTTATTTATTTATTTTTTATTTTTTGAGATGGAGTCTCGCTCTGTCATCCAGGCTGGAGTACAGTGGCTCAATCTCGCCTCACTGCAATCTCCACCTCCCGGGTTCAAGCGATTCTCCTGCCTCAGCCTCCCGGCTAAATTTTGTATTTTTTGTTTTTTAGTAGTAAATTTGTAAATTTTGTATTTTAGTAGAGATGGGGTTTCACCGTGTTGGCCAGGCTGGTCTTGAACTCCTGGCTTCAAGTGATCCACTTTCCTTGACCTCCCAAACTGCTGGGATTACAGGCGTGAGCCACTGGGCCTGGCTTTATTTTATTTTTATTTATTTTATTTCTTTTTGAGATGGAGTATCACTCTTGTTGCCCAGGCTGGAGTACAACGGTGGGATCTTGGCTCACCACAACCTCTGCCTCCCAGGTTCTCGTGCCTCAGCCTCCTGAGTAGCTGGAATTACAGGCGTGTGCCACCACACCTGGCTCCTTTATTTTTTAAATGAAGCCTGGCCTCATAAATGAAGGAAGTTGGTTAGATTAAGTCAGTAGAACTGAATTATTGTCCTGACTGCTCCGACTAGCCATGTAACTTTAGGCAATCACCCTCAGTGTTTGGTGGGGGGGACATAAAATTTTTAAATTAGGTGACCTCTAAAGTTAGTTTTAGTTTGGAAACATGCTAAAAATTGGTTTAGCTCAAACAGAGTGGGAACCCTGGGGGGATTGGACTCTTTCCTTCCTCTGTTTTGAGACTCTTTGCTTCTGGCTCGGCAGGTTGCTGTTTTTTTTGGTGGTCTGTCTATCAAGAAGGATGAAGAGGTGCTGAAGAAGAACTGCCCGCATATCGTCGTGGGGACTCCAGGCCGTATCCTAGCCCTGGCTCGAAATAAGAGCCTCAACCTCAAACACATTAAACACTTTATTTTGGATGAATGTGATAAGATGCTTGAACAGCTCGGTGAGTGGCAGTGCTGGGGCTTGGCTAATGCTGGGGAGTTGTTCTTTGGAGCCAAATGATGTTTATTTGAAACAGGAGCACCTCAGTGCAAGGACGACTCTTATCTATCACCCATGACTGATGGCTCTGGGTTCCCTGGTTGGTCTTTATTATGCTTTTAAGCACAGTAAAGGGTGTCATCTATCATCTTTCTATGATTTTTGTTTTTAACCTTTGAGAATAGGGGACTTTGATAATTTTAGGCATAAGTCATCACCACCACCACCGTTTTCATTATAGATTCATATACTGGGAGTCATAGGGGAGATTCTAAACTGAAAGAGAAGACAGTACCCTTCTGGCATCTCCAGCACAGCATTTACAGTCAGAATTTATAGCTGAATAAGTGTCTAGACTCAGGTCTGGGATTAATGTAGAGAGTGTTTGTAGCAGTTTGTGTGATGTGGTATTCTAGTGTGCCAGGTGGGGTTAATGGAAGATTTTTCTGTAAGAATTGAATCTTGGTGAATGAGAGTGGGGTTGGACATAGGCCCCATAAGTCATTACAAATGATCTTTGGCAATTCTATATGGTGAGCTGTAAAGGTGGGCTCCAGGTAGGGATGTCATATTTGCCTGACTTGATAGAAAAGTAATCCAGAGAGTCATAGATGGACTCTGATATCTGGAATATAATATGTGCTTGATATTTGTAGTCTGCTGAAGGCTGGCTGGGGCTTGGGCAGGAAAGGGTTGGGAGAAGGTCCCATAAAGCATGTTTTGAAGGCCTTGAGAGCCTCTGCACTGGGCTTTATCCCCATTTCATAGTTGGGAACTTTGGGGTTTTACCTTATTTCTTGCTTGGTTAAAACCAACAGCTGGAATCTGATCCCACTTCTTGATTCCAAGTCCATTGCTCTTTCCATTGTGTTGTTACTATTTCCAGCAATCTTCACCTCACTGGGAAGTCTACCTCTAATCTTTGTTTATCATACCTGCTTATTTTCTCCTACAATTTTTTTCCTTGTTCTTGTAGACATGCGTCGGGATGTCCAGGAAATTTTTCGCATGACCCCCCACGAGAAGCAGGTCATGATGTTCAGTGCTACCTTGAGCAAAGAGATCCGTCCAGTCTGCCGCAAGTTCATGCAAGATGTAAATACCCTTCTACCTTCTCTCCCTCCACTCCCCGCCCGCTGCCTCCTCCCCTTCCTCGCCCTCTTCCTCAGACTCCCTTGTCATTCAAGTGCCAAGAAGGCGGCTTGTGCCCAACTGGGAGTAATGACTCCTTGAAGAGACATACAGAAGCAGAGACAGCTAGTGTTAGGGCCTGCGCGGGTGCCAGGGAAACTCCGGAAGACTTGGTCGGGTTAATGTGAGAGCGGGTAGTGTTCGACTTTTTCATAAATCACAACATTTTTGAACCTCTTCTCCCTTCGGGGGAGGGCAGGATTTTTCTGCCCTACCACCCACCCATCCATCGTCTCTTACATGCACCCTACAGCCACGCACCCTCAAGGTGGCATCGAGCATACAGCTGGAGCCTTCTGCTCACCAAAACTCCTACTTCCCGGTGGCAGGAGAGCAAGAGAGGGACAGACAGATGGCAGGGCATGTCCAAAAGAAGAGCATCAGCACAAATGAATCCTCCCCTTCCCCACCTCCAGGGGTGGGGGCCTTTGGCACCTCAATCCCCGATACCCTACTCCTTCCCACCCACATCTCCTTGCACCCATCTGGAACCTCGGTTGATGTGAGCCGGCAACAGAGAAGCACCGTGGCGCGGCGAGGGAATGCAGACGGCACCCAGCGGTGGATGGCGGCAGCGGAGGCCGCGGGGAAACCTGACCAGGAAGCTGAGGACCAAACCAGCCTCTTTTTCCGTTCCCGGTTTTTTTCCTGAACCCAACGCGTGCCGTGCCCCGTTTCCCCCAATATGTGTTGGGGAGGGGTGTCCTGAATGGGGTGGTAGATTTTTTTTCTTAAAAAAATTTTTTTGTTTTTTTTAATACTCAGAGGAGAGGGACATAGGAAAGGTAAAGTGGATGTAATCGGGTGGTTGTTAGGGTTTGGGGCTAGGTGGGGCCAATTGCATAAGCAGTGGAGTGTGTTCTTCCCCTCCCTGCAGTGTTCCTTCCCGTGGGATGATCACTCTTTAGCTGTATTTGGGGCTAGAATGAGATTTGAAGGAGGCCATGGAACTTCTCTTTAGAAAGCCTGCCTTGGCTGGGCCTGGTGGCTCACCTCTAATCCCAGCACTTTGGGAGGCCAAGGTGGGAGGATTGCTTGAGCCCAGGAATTTGAGACTAGCTGGGGCAGTGTAGTGAGACTTTGTCTCTACCAGAAAAACCGGGCGTGGTGGCGCATGCCTGTAGTCCCAGCTACTTGGGAAGCTGAGGCAGGAGGGTTTGCTTGAGCCCGGGACGTGGAGGTGGCAGTAAGCTGTAATTGTGCCACTGTACTCCAGCCTGGGTGATAGAGTGAGACCCTGTATCAAAACAAAACAAAAAACAAAACCTGCCTTCTGGGATTGGGCTTCTGGTTTTTTTCCCATGACACACACATCCTTTCCTATTTTGTCCTCTGGGTCTTCATATTAACTATCTTCCCCCAGGATAGTATAAAAAGTGTTAGGAAAGTTGGGCTTTGGAGTTGTGGTAATTTCTGTCTTTGTTACTTTCCTCCCCTTCAGGGGGTTTTTTAATTTTAAAGATGAATGCAGTGAGGTATAATGGTGTGTGCCTGTAGTCCCAGCTATTCAGGAGACTGAAGCAGGAGGATCACTTGAGCCCAGGAATTTGAGGCTATAGTGTGCTATGATTGTGCCAGTGAATAGCCACTGCACTCCAGCCTGGGCAACATGGTGAGATCCTGTCCCTTAAAAGCGTATCTGCTGCTCTGAATTTGGTATTTTAACACCACTTACTGATACCTTTCCTGTAAACCTGTAGATGGTTTAATTCTTAGTCAAGAGACCAGTCTCATCTAAAACTATCCTGTTGTGGTCTGACGGCAAGTAACTCATCTTGAGTAATTTTTGTTTCTCCTTAAGTGGCATTTTGACTGTCCATTGCAGCATTCTGATCTTAAAAGACATCCACTTTGCTAATGCACACGAGATTCTCTTAGTTGAAGTAGGAGAATCAAATGGAGCAGTTGTCCTCCCCCCACCCCATGTTCTTAGAAGCACCTCTGATGGAGTTATTCTGACCTTGAGTCACTGCCTCCCATCATTTCCCAGATGTTTGGTCCTTGCTCTCCCTTTGAGAATCATCTCCCATTTTCTTTCCTCTCCCACCTCTATTTGAGGTAATGGCATCTGTGCCATTGGGTGGTTTCACTGCTCCTTGACTTCATTTGCAGTTTCTTTCCCATGATAGTTTTTAGTTGGGCAGTCTTAAAACTCATCTGATAGGAAGGAAATTAGATGTAATGTGAGAGAGACCACAGTAAAATGTGGGTATTTTTGGGAGTGGGGTGGGGTTTTCAATCTTCTCTTTCCTCCCCATCCCCCCATGGGGTGTATTGGAGATCAACTTCCTCCACCCCCCCAGGTTTAACCCCCCCACTCTGCCCTCCTCCCGTTCCCCACCCCCTTCCTCCCCCCCAGCCAATGGAGATCTTCGTGGATGATGAGACGAAGTTGACGCTGCATGGGTTGCAGCAGTACTACGTGAAACTGAAGGACAACGAGAAGAACCGGAAGCTCTTTGACCTTCTGGATGTCCTTGAGTTCAACCAGGTCAGTTAGACGTCCAGTAGGGGGATGAGCATTGGAGCACTCCAGCTGTAGCAGAAACCTGGATATTAAGTACACTTTTATTGAGGAAATCACATGTGTGATGTGGGAGAGAATAATGAGGGTATAAATATCTTAGGGGCTGAGCATGAGTAAGGTGGGAGCTGCTTTTCTATTCTATGGCTGGCACGGGTATGTCCTCAATAACCTCAAGGAAAATAAACTTCAAAAATTAAGATCCTTGGCCAGGCACGGTGGCTTATGTGTGTAATCCCAGCACTTGGGGAGGCTGAGGGAGGTGGATCACTTGAGTCCAGGAGTTTGAGACCAGTCTGGGCAACATGGCGAAACTTCATCACTACCAAAGAAGAAAAAAATTAGCCAGGTGTGGTGGTGTATGCCTGTAGTCCCAGATACTCTGGTGGCTGAGGTGAGAGGATAGCTTGAGCCCAGGAAATTGAGGCTGCAGTGAACTATGATTGCACTACTGTGCTCCAGCTTGGGCAACAGAGTGAGATCTTGTCTCCAAAAGTCCTTGAAGGATTTTAGGAAGTTGTTAAAAGTCTTGAAACGATGTTTGGGGGCATGTTAGGGTTCTTGAATGTTTAATTCCTCTAATAACTGCTTATTCAAGAGAAGCATTTCTGACTGGGTGCAGGGCAGTGGCTCATGCCCATAATCCCAGTACTTTGGGAGGCTGAGGCAGGAGCATTGCTTGAGCCCAGGACTTCAAGACCAGCCTGGGTAACATAGGGAGACGCCCGTCTCTACAAATAGTAAAAATAAAAAATAAAAAAAGTAGCTGGGCGTGGTGGTGTGCACCTGTGGTCCCAGCTGCTTGGGATGCTGAGGTGGAAGGATCTCTTAAACCCAGGAGGGTGGAGGCTGCAGTGACTTGCGATTGCACCACTGCACTCCAGTCTGGGGGACAGAGTGAGACCCCATCTCAAAAAAGTGTTTAATTAATATACTTGTGAGTGGTCTATTTGCATTTAAAACTGCTTTCTAGAATTAGGATAGCTCCCTTAGGTTTAATGTTTTGGTGAGCAGGAATATCAGTTACCCCTCCAGATCTTAATTCTAGTTTTTTATCACTTTTTCATGAGGTGATCTCATCCTCATCTCCTAGCATGTCTGGCAATTTTGATTTCTGAACTCTGTGCTACCTCAGAGGCCAGCTTCCTTAGGGAAAAATCAGTGCTGAAATAAAGTTATATTTCCTTTTCTGCTCTAAATATATAGTGGGGGAATAAGAGAAATGAAGAGGAATTCCTGAGAACGTAATTACTAGAAACTCCCCTCTCCCACGTAATGTCTCTCACACACCATGGACCCCTATTCCCCCAATTTGCGACCCCCCACCCCACCCCACAACAGGTGGTGATCTTTGTGAAGTCTGTGCAGCGGTGCATTGCCTTGGCCCAGCTACTAGTGGAGCAGAACTTCCCAGCCATTGCCATCCACCGTGGGATGCCCCAGGAGGAGAGGTGAGCTGAAGATGGGAAAGATATTTTGTGTCCTTGGGAGAAAAAGACAGTTGAGAGAAGGGAATCTCAACATGTTTTAAATTTCCTTTCTCACAAAGGCTTTCTCGGTATCAGCAGTTTAAAGATTTTCAACGACGAATTCTTGTGGCTACCAACCTATTTGGCCGAGGCATGGACATCGAGCGGGTGAACATTGCTTTTAATTATGACATGCCTGAGGATTCTGACACCTACCTGCATCGGGTAAACCTCACAGGCTGAAAAAATCCCACTCTCCCATTCCCTTGTTTTCTGTTTGTACATCTTCATTCCTGCCTCTGGGTCTCTTTCCTCTTCGGTCTTCCAGTGCTACCCTCTGTCTCCCTCCAGGTGGCCAGAGCAGGCCGGTTTGGCACCAAGGGCTTGGCTATCACATTTGTGTCCGATGAGAATGATGCCAAGATCCTCAATGATGTGCAGGATCGCTTTGAGGTCAATATTAGTGAGCTGCCTGATGAGATAGACATCTCCTCCTACAGTGAGTACTGATCTCATGAAACCCTTTAGGTCCTCCCTGTTCCTTAGTGTGTTTGTCCTAAATCCCATCACATAGGTCATGGGCATCTGATGCATAATGGACACTTGACTGGTTCATGCCCCCTGGTCTTTGATGCTGTGTTGGGATGTTTTTCTGACCTTTATGTGGGGTTTCTGTCTTCTCTCATCATATTACATCCCTTCCCTCACCCCCACGTCCGTCCTCTGAACCCAGGCAGTACACCAGTGTCTGCATGTGTGCCGTGTGTTCCTGCCTCACTTTCCCCTTTTCATGCCTTATTCTGACCATGCTACGTTTTCTTCTCAGTTGAACAGACACGGTAGAAGACTCGCCCATTTTGGAATGTGACCGTCTGTCCTTCAGGAGAGGACACCAGGGTGGGGGTGAAGGAGACACTACTGCCCCCACCCCTGACAGCCCCCACCCCATGGCTTCCATCTTTTGCATCACCACCACTCCTGAACCCCCATTTCTGATTTGTCAGAATTTTTTTTTAACAAAACTAAAAATGAAACACATGTGTCTGTGGTATCTATAAGTGCTTCGTCCCTTTATTGTATTTGGGGTGAGGTTATTTTAGGGCATGGTCCAGGGTGAATTCCTATAAGGCCTGGGTGCCCTGCCTGCTGTGAGATCAAAGGGGAATGGGACTAAGACTGCAGAGCCCTGGCTCCCCCACTGCCTGCCAATTGCCTGCGGTTTGTGGTCTCTTCCACTTTCTCTGGCCTGGGAAGACGCTGGGGTGTTTATGATCCCAAGGCTCCTGGTGGGTGGTGCGTGTATTTTCAGTGCCGGAGGGTGCTGTGGGCACTGGGGGAAACTTAGGCACCTCCTCCAAGGCTCTCTTGGTGCCTCCTCATCTGTTCCTTCAGCTTCTGGATCTTGAGCACCAGGGCTTGGGCCTCCCAGGCTCCCTCCTGCCCTTCAAGGAGGGCCTGGTACAGCTCCAGCTGCTGCTCCAACAACTCTTCAGCTCGGGCCAGCTCAGCTGTGCGGTGGGTCCCAGGGCCCTGGTCAGGGAATTAAGGGAGGGAGCATCAGCCAGGGCAGGGGGCCGAGGCCCTGGGAAGCTTTGTCGCAGGCTGTGGCTGGAAGTGAGAAATTCCACCTTCCCTATTCGTTTTTGAACCGGTCATTTAAGGACACCTGTACTGAGAAGGCCAGGTAGCTTCCTGTCTTGGGCATAGGCCTCTGGGTGGTAGTAGGGGGAGCAAATAGAGTTCCCTGGCCCAGGGGCTGTAACTGGCTTCCTTGAACAAGGATATGGGGTCACTGGAAAGAGGATCAGCCGCTCCTCCCCGCTAAGAAATAATTAACTGTTAGGTGAGGGGGAATAGATCCTGTTCAAGGACTTTGTGGACTGTGCTGTTGTGGGTGGGGGTGGGGTGAGGGAAGGGAACCCTGAGGTCTGGGCTGGGGGAGGTGGGGAGAGGAGTTGGTAGCTGAACTAAGAAAAGAGCTGCAGGGGTAGGCATGGTGTGGGGTGGTGCAGGGTGGGATTGAGGGTTTTTTTTTCCCACACCCCAGTGTAAATTCTCACACCCTCTGTTCCTACCTGTGGTGCCACTTACCCTGGGAGGGGACGTCATCTTCCCATTTCCTCTGGAGTTGGTCTGCTCTTCCATGCTTGCTTTGGGGTTTTGGGAGCAGCACCCATGGGAGCCCTGGGGTGCCAAGGACCAGGAGGGCAGAAGGAGGCGAAGGAAATGGTACCGAGAGAGCCAGGGCAGAGGGAGGACCATGGCGGGTGACCTGGCCGGGAGCTGTGTGAGCTGTCCAACGGCCACCAGGAACTGGTTCGCTCCAGGACTTGGCCTCACTTGAGTGCCTGGCCCTGCCCAGGCCCCAGCCCCCAGCCCTGCCCCTGCCCCTGCCCCACTCTGCCCCACGTCTCTCCCAGCCTGGCCCCAGACAGAGTCCAGGAACAACTCCTGTTCCTGATGTGAAAAATGTCCCTGCCAGTTTAGGCAGAACTTGCTTTAGAGCACTGGTGCCCAGCCTACCACAGGTCTGTGATTTTTTTTTTTTGATCTAGTGTTTATTAGGTATGAATTTTACAAACATTAGCGGTAGCTGTGGAGCTGGAGAGTATTGCACCTTCTCCAAGCTGCATGGCGAGAACCACCAATAGTGTGGTAGAACTTACAGCCCTATCCAAGGCCGTGGCTCTCTTGGCCTGCAGATAGCCTACGCATCTCCCTATGCTTGTTGTGGACCACTGGGTGTCAGGTTTCCTTCTGATAGTGTTATGGAATGGATCAACTAGGATAGCCTCAAAAACTTTGTATGTGGAATCTTTAACCAGCCCAGTGAGAATTCAGGACTCAGAGCCCCACAGTGGCATCCAGCTTGCTCTTCTGTAACAGACTGAAGGCTTTAAGCAAACTAGCTGGTTAACACCATGATAGACAGGCTTGCTGTTAAGTTGCCTTCTTAGGAACTAGATTTTCAGCCACCGTGGCGCTTATATGTAACATAACCTTGCTTGGCTGTAGCCCAGTAGCGTGCTTTATTGGGCTGGGTGGGGCGGGGATCCCTGTGGAGAGCAGAGAGCTGGTGGTACTGCCAGCAGCGGACCCTCAGAAGAAAGCTCATGACATCAGACTGCTTCTTCCATAGCTTCTGGATGTACTTGTATGCACCATCTTGGTTTACCCAGTGGCTGCTGCCAGACAGAAAGGAAAGGCTACCACAGGTCTTGTGTCTTTTTTTTTTTTTTTTTTTGAGACGGAGTCTCGCTCTGTTGCCCAGGCTGGAGTGCAGTGGCGCAATCTGGGCTCACTGCAAGCTCTGCCTCCCGGGTTCACGCCATTCTCCTGCCTCACCCTCCCGAGTAGCTGGGACTACAGGTGCTCGCCACTACGCCCGGCTAATTTTTTGTATTTTTAGTGGAGACGGGGTTTCACCGTATTAGCCAGGGTGGTCTCGATCTCCTGACCTCGTGATCCGCCCGTCTTGGCCTCCCAAAGTGCTGGGATTACAGGCGTGAGCCACCGCACCCGGCATGCCTTTTTCTTAACACTGTTTTCTCACTTCACTCTGCAAGGTAGGAATTACCTCACTGGTTTGCACCTGAGGAAACTGGCTCAGATGGTTTCATTCAGCATTCACTGGGGAAGTGTCTGTTGGGGGCAGCTCTAGGCTGGATGTGCTCGAAGGTCCACAGCTGGTTGTTGGTAGGGCCTGGAGGGTTCATGTCTAGGTCCACCTGACTTGAAAGCTCATCCTGACCTTGCTTAAGTGCTGATTCCCCTTTGCAGATGTACCTTTTATTGTGCTTCCCTTTATTGCTCTTTGCAGATGCTGTTTTTTATTTAGAGATTGGAGGCTTGTGGCAACCCTGTGTCAAGCACATCAAACAGGTCTATTGGTGCTATTTTCCCAACAGCAGGCAGACATCATGTCTCCATGTCACGCTGTGGAATTCTCAAAATGTTTCAAGCGTTTTCATTATTATACTTGTTACAGTGACCTGTAATCAGTTACTGAAGTTAACTATTGTGATTGTTTTGGGACACCATGAGCGATGCTCATATAAGACAGCAAACTTAATGGAAAAATGTGTGTGTTGTGACTGCTTCACCAACTGGCCATTCTCCCGACTCTGCTTTCCAGGCCTCCCTATTCCCTGAGGCACAACAATATTGAAAGGAATAATCCATGCGGCAAATGGCAAACATCATTGTCTTATTTTAAGAAGTTGTCAAAGCAGCCTTCAGCAGCCATGCCCCTGATCCATGGAGGCAAGACCCTCCCCCAGCAAAAAGATCAGGATTAGCTGAAGCCTCATATGATTGTTAGCATTTGTTTAGCAATTAAGTATTTTAAAATTAAAGTATATGGCCAGATACAGTGGCTCACGCCTGTAATCCCAGCACTTTGGGAGGCCGAGGTGGGTGGATCACTTGAGGTCAGGAGTTCAAGATTAGCCTGGCCAACATGGTGAAACCTCATCTCTACTAAAAATACAAAAATTAGCTGGGCATGGTGATGGGCACCTGTAGTCCCAGCTACTTGGGAGGCTGAGCAGGAGAATGGCTTGAACTCAGGAGGCGGAGGTTGCAGTGAGCCAAAATCGTGGCACTGCACTCCAGCCTGGGTGACAGAGCGAGACTCCATTAAGTATATACACAGTTTTTTGTACACAATGCTACTGTACACTTAACAGACTACAATATAGTACAAACATAACTTTTATGCACAATAGGAAACTAAAAAGTTTGTGTGACTCACTTTGTTGCTATGGTCTGGAAACAAATCTTCAGTATCTCCGAGGTATGCCTGTCATTTCCCTTTCCCTCTTCTTGCTGGCCCAGAATGACCTTGTTTCTCGCCCCTGTCTAGCCCTGCATGCTGTAGGGGTTTGCCTTCTCTGGTAGGTCTGGGCACTTTGTATCCCTTGTAACCTTGGCTCCTGGGATATGACACTGGTACAACTGGCCTCAAGTTCTGTTGGACTAGTGAGCCTCCCCCAACACCTCCTGAAGTAGAACCAAAGGCCTGTGCACACACCGTGCATGTGTGAGTCTGCATAGAGATGTCAGCTTCCTGCAGGGTGTTCTGAAGGGATGTCCTGTTGTGACTGGACTGTGACATAGCCACAGGCCCAGAGGCAGGAGTGGCTCAGAAGGGAGTGGCTGGTCCCAATTTTGATCATCTAGGAACAGGAAGGTCCTTAGAAAACCATGCCCCAGAAGGCAGGATTGCTGGAGAGTGGACAGCTGCTAGCCAGCTCGCTATCTGGATATCACTCTGCATTGGGAGGGAAGATGGCCTCTGCCATGGTGTAAGAGTCCAGGAACCAGGCAGTGAGGACTTCCCAGCGGTCAGTGCTTCTCACACTTGCGGGCCAAAGCACCTTTAGATGAGGCCAAAGACTTTACGTTCCTCATTAGCTGACTTTTTCCCACTTAAGTGGAAAAAGAACCCAGAACCTTTGTAAAAGTTTTAGGGGAGAAGGGCTTTCCCTCTTGTATCTTGGTGATAAGGTTATGCATGACTCATACTTTAATTGCAATGTGTACACAGCTAAAGTCTTAATTATTAGAATATAAGAGCCCCAAACTACTGTTATTATAGATAAGCGAAACTATGCAGTATATGGTTAAACAATCCACAACTAATTAACATTGAAAGTTGGCCGGGCGCAGTGGCTCATGCTTGTAATCCCGGCACTTTGGGAGGCCGAGGCGGGGGGATCACTTAAGGTCAGGAGTTCAAGACTAGCCTGGCGAACATGATGAAACCCCGTCTCTACTAAAAATACAAAAAATTAGCTAAGCGTGGTGGTAGCCACCTGTAATCCCAGCTACTTGTGAGGCTGAGGCAGGAGAATTGCTTGAACCTGGGAGGCGGAGGTTGCAGTGAGCTGAGATTGTGCCACTGCACTCCAGCCTGGGCGACAGAGCAAGACTCCGTCTCTCAAAAAAAAAAAAAAAAAAAAAGAAAAGAAAAAAAATTAACTACATTTTTGGGAGGTGGACAGAGCAATGCTCTGTCACCCAGGCTGGAGTGCAATGGCACAATCTCTGCTTGCTGGAACCTCCGCTTGCCGGGTTCAAGCAATTCTTATGCCTCTGCCTCCCAAGAAGCTGGGATTACAGACGTGTGCCACTATGCCGAGCTAATTTTTGTATTTTTAGTACAGGCAGGGTTTCACCATGTTGGCCAGGCTGGTCTTGAACACCTGGCCTCAAGTGATCCGACTGCCTCAGCCTCCCAGAGTGCTGGGATTACAGGTGTGAACCACCGTGCCTGGCCCTCTATCTGTTAATTTAAAAGATTAGCAGCCATTTAGAAAAAACAACAAATGAGACTTTTGCAAGACAATCTAAATGATACACTAATAACAATCCTTTGGGAAAGTGACATTTCAACCATGTGAGTTTCTGCTTTAGGTTATGAACTCCAAAATGGACTAAATGGACTAACCCCCAATAATTTATAGTAGCTAGTTTTTTTTTTTTTCACAGTAGGTAATTCTAAACCATAAATAAAATAGAATCTGAATTTTGGCTTTGTTCACCTGTGGGAACTTAATTAAGAAAGCACTGGCCTTTGGGTCGGTTCAAATATAGTGGATGAGGCCAGGCGCAGTGGCTCACACCTGTAATCTCAGCACTTTGGGAGGCCGAGGCGGGCGGATCATGAGGTCAAGAGATCGAGACCATCCTGGCCAACATGGTGAAACCCCGTCTCTACTAAAAATACAAAAATTAGCCGGGCATGGTGGTGCACACCTGTAGTCCCAGCCACTCGGGAGGCTGAGGCAGGAGAATCACTTGAACCCGGGAGCCAGAGGTTACAGTGAGCTGAGATCATGCCACTGCACTCCAGCCTGGCGACAGAGCGAGACTCTTGTCTCAAAAAACAAAAAACAAAACCAAAAAGAAAGAAAACCAAATATAGTGGATAATCGTGGATCTCATAATTGTAGAAATGAAGGAATTAAGCTAAAAAAATACATAAACCAGAATACCTAGTGCAAAAGTGGAATGTCCCCACCAAAACTCATGTTGACATTTAATTGCTATCCTAATGGTATTAAGATGCAAGACTTTTTTTTTTTCTTTTTTTGAGATGGAGTTTCGCTCTTGTTGCCCAGGCTGGAGTGCAATGGCACAATCTCAGCTCACTGCAACCTCCGCCTCCCATGTTCAAGTGATTCTCCTGTCTCAGCCTCCTGAGTAGCTGGAATTACAGGCACATGCCACCACGCCCAGCTAATTTTTGTATTTTTAGTAGAGACGGGGTTTCATCATATTGGTCAGGCTGGTCTTGAACTCCTGACCTCAGGTGATCCACCTGCCTTGGCCTCCCAAAGTGCTGGGATTACAGGCATGAGCCACCGTGCCCAGCCGATGTGGGACCTTTCAGGGTTGATTAGATTGAATAGATTAATGCCATTGTATGGCATGATAGAAATCAGTTCAGCCTCTTTGCCCTTCCACCTCTCACTATGGGATGATACTGCAGCCAGGCCCTCATAAGATGCCAGTGTCATGCTCTTGGACTTCTCAGCCTCCAGCTCTGTGGGAAAAACATTTATTGTCTTTATAAATTACCCAGTCTGTGCTGGGTGTGGTGGCTCAAGCCTGTAATCCCAGCACTTTGGGAGGCCAAGGTGGGTGGAAGGCTTGAGCCCAGGAGTTTGAGACCAGCCTGGGCAACATGGCAAAACCCATCTCTACAAAAAAACACAAAAATTAGCTGGTGTGGTCGTGCGGGTCTGTGGTCCCAGTTATTTAGGAGGCTGAGGTGGGAGGATCACTTGAGTCTGGGAGGTGGAGGTTGCAGTGAGTTGAGATCATGCCACTGCACTCCAGTCTGAGCGACAGAGAGAGACCCTGTCTGAAAAAACAACAAAATAAATTACCCAGTCTGTAGTATTCTGTTATAGCGGCAGGAAACGGACTAAGACACATAGATTATGTTACTGTGTTTATTTATTTATTGTTGTTTTTGTTATTCCTGACTCTTAATATAGAGTCTTAATCAGATGAGCATTCTGGCCTGGTCTCCGCAGAAGGGGCCTGTCTTTAGCCACGGACAAGAGGAGATTAAGGCCAGCATCATCCACAAGGTCAAGGGGCTGCAGAGCCCCCTAAGGCCAGTGTGCTGATGGGCCCCTCAATATTGTATCCTACCCAGTGGATTGGCAGGACTGGGTGACTGACAGGAATCATTGTTGCCTCTATGGGAAAGTCTTATGGAGATGGGGGCTGAGGGATGTTGAAGTTTAGCCATTACATTACAGTGAGAGAGATTACATTACTAAGTGTCAGAGACCCTGCTGGGCACTTTCTGTTACTGTCACAGGTGGCTTTCACAGTAACCTTTTAAGAGAGCTCTTTTCATTTTTCTTGTACATAGCTGTCCAGTTGTTCCAGCAGCATTTGCTGAAAAGACTATCTTTATTGTATTGTCTTTGCTCCTTGTATTTATGTGGGACTATTTCTTGGCTCTCTATTCTGCTCAAGTGGATCAATTTGTCTATTCTTTGCCAATGCCACTCTGTCTTTCTAAAATTAATTTTTTGATTGACTAATTTTATACATTTGTGGTGTACATCATGTTTATATATATATGCACATACATACACACACATTGTGGAATGGATAAACCAAACAATTTAATAATATGTACATTACCTCACATACATATTTTGTGTGTATGTGATGAGAATGCTTAAAGCTATTCTCATACTATTTTGAAATACACAATATGTTGTTATTAAGTTTAGTCACCATAAGGTACAATAGATCTCTTGAACTTATTCTTCCTAACTGAAATCTTGTGTTCTTTGACTAACATCTCCCCAATTCCCCGACCTCCCAGCCTCTGATAACCACCAGTTTACTCTCTATTTATGAGTCTGGCTTTTTCTATACTCCACATATAAGTGAGATTGTATTTGTCTTTCTGTGCCTGGCTTATTTCACTTAACATAATGTCTTCCAGGTTCATCCATGTTGTCACAAATGACAGGATTTTGTTTTTTAAGGCTGAATAGTATTCCATTTTTTATATATACCACATTTTCTTTATCCATTCATCCATTGATGGACACTTAGGTGGATTCTATATCTTGGCTATTGAGAATAATGCTGCAGCCAGGTGCAGTGTCTCGTGCTTATAATCCCAGATAATTGGGAAGCTGAGACAGCAGGATCGCTTGAGGCCAGGAGTTGCCCTGGGCAACATAGACTCTATCTCTAAAGGAAAAAAAAAAAAAAAGAATAATGATGCAATGAATATGGGAGTGCAAATATCTCAACGTACTGATTTCGTATCCTTTGGATATATACCCATTAGTGGGATTGCTGGATCATGTGGTATTTCTATTTTTAAAATTTTTGCAGAACCTCCATACTGTTTCCCACAATGGCTATGCTAATCACCACTCTGTCTTGATTACTATGGCTTTATAGAAAGTCTAAGTCAGGTAGTGGTGGTCTTTGACTTTATTTTTCTCCTATATTGTGCTGGCTAGGTCTTTTGCCTCACCATATAAAGTTTGAATCAGTTTGTTAATATCCACAAAATAACTTACTGAGGTTTTTTATTGAGATTGCATTCATTCCACAGATCAAGTTGGAAAGAACAGATATATTAACAGTATTGAGCCTTCCTGACTATGAACATGGAATATCTCTCCATTTGTTTAGTTCTTTGATTTCTTTTGTCAGTTTTGTAGTTTTGTTCATATAGATCTTGTACATATTTTCTTAGATTTGTACCTAAGTGTTTCATTTTTGGGGGTGCTAATGTAAGTGGTATTGTGTTTTAAATGGCAAATTCTGGACCAGGCACGGTGGCTCACGCCTGTAATCCCAGCACTTTGGGAGGCTGAGGCAGGCAGAACATGAGGTCAGAAGTTCGAGATCAGCCTGGCCAACATGGTAAAACCCCGTCTCTACTAAAAACACAAAAATTAGCTGGGCATGGTGGGGCACACCTGTAATCCCAGCTACTCAGGAGGCTGAGGCAGGAGAATTGCTTGAACCTGGGAGGAGGAGGTTGCAGTGAGTTGAGATCGCGCCACTGCACTCTAGCCTGGGCGACAGAACAAGACTCCGTCTTGAAAAAAAAAAATTAAATGGCGAATTCTACATGCTCATTGCTGATACATAGAAAAATGATTGGCTTTTACATATTAACTTTATATCCTGCAACCTTGCTATAATTGCTTGTTAGTTCCAGGAGTTTTTTATGTGTGGATTCTTTTTGATTTTCTACATAGACAATCATATCATCTGTAAACAAAGACAGTTTTATTTCTTGTTCCAAATTTGTATACCTTTTAGTTCCTTTTCTTGTCTTACTACTTTAGCTAGGACTTCCAGTACAACGTTGAAAAGCTGTGTTGAGAGGGTCATTCCTGCCTTGTTCTGATCTTAGCAGGCAAGCTTTTAGTTTCTCACCATTAAGTGTGATGTTAGCTGTGGATGTTTTGTGGATGTTGTTTATCAAGTTGAGTAAGGTCTTCTCTATTCCTAGCTTGCTAAGAGATTTTTTTTTTTTAATCATCATGAATGGGTGTTGGATGTTGTCAATTGCTTTTTCTGCCTCTATTGATATGATCATGTGATTTTCTTCTTTAGCCAGTTGATTTAATGGATTACATTAACTGATTTTCCAATGTTGAAGTAACTTTGCATACCTGGGATAAATCTTACTTAGGCATGGTGTATTGTTCTTCTCATACATTGTGGATTTGATTTGCTAGCATTTTGCTGAGGATTTTTGCACCTATGTTCATGAGAGATATTGGTCTGTGGTTTTCTTTTTTTGTGAAGTCTTCATCTGATTTTGGTATTTGGCTAATGCTGGCCTCATGGAATTAGTTAGAAAGTATTCCCTCATGGAATCCTGGCCTCATGAAATGAGATAGAAAGTGTCTGTCTTGGCTTTGCAGACGCCACCATCAGGAGCCCCATACTATCAGCCATGGTCAACCCCACCGTGTCCTTCAACATCGCTGTCAATGGTGAGCCCTTGGGCTGTGTCTCCTTCAAGCTGTTTGCAGACAAGTTTCCAAAGACAGCAGAAAACTTTCGTGCTCTGAGCACTGGAGAGAAAGGATTTGATTATAAATGTTCCTCCTTTCACAGAATTATTCCAGGGTTTATGTGTCAGGGTGGTGACTTCACACGCCATAATGGCACTGGTGGCAAGTCCATCTACGGGGAGAAATTTGATGATGAGAACTTCATCCTAAAGCATACAGGTCCTGGCATCTTGTCCATGGCAAATGCTGGACCCAACACAAATGATTCCCGGTTTTTCTTTTTTCTCTTTTTTTTGAGATGGAGTCTTAACTCTGTCGCCCAGGCTGGAGTGCAGTGGCGCGATCTTGGCTCACTGCAACTTCCGCCTCCCAGGTTCAAGCAATTCTCCTGCCTCAGCCTCCTGAGTAGCTGGGATTACAGGCATGCACCACCATGCCTGGCTAATATTTGTATTTTTATTAGAGACGGGGTTTCACCATGTTGGTCAGGCTGGTCTTGAACTCCTGACCTCAGGTGATCTGCCCATCTCGGCCTCCCAAAGTGCTGGGATTACGGCATGAGCCACCTAGCCCGGGCAATTCCCAGTTTTTCATCTGCACTGCCAAGACTGAGTGGTTGGATGGCAAGCCCATGGTCTTTGGCAAGGTGAAAGATGGCATGAATATTGTGGAGGCCATGGAGCACTTTGGGTCTGGGAATGGCAAGACCATCAAGAAGATCACCATCGCTGACTGTACACAACTTGACTAAGTTTGACTTGTGTTTTTTTTTGAGACTAAGTTTCGCTCTTGTTGCCAGGCTGGAGTGCAATGGCGCCATCTCGGCTCACTGCAACCTCTGCTTCCTGAGTTCAGGCGATTCTCCTGCCTCAGCCTCCCGAGTAGCTGGGATTACAGGCATGCGCCACCACACTTGGCTAATTCTGTATTTTTAGTAGAGACGGGGTTTCTCCGTGTTGGTCAGGCTGGTCTTGAACTCCTGACCTCAGGTGATCCCACCTGCGTCAGCCTCCCAAAGTGCTGGAATTACAGGTGTGAGCCACCGCGCCCGGCCTGACTTGTGTTTTATCTTAACCACTAGACCATTGCTTCTGTAGCTCAGGAGAGCACCCTCCATCCATCTGCTCGCAGTATCTAGAATCTTTGTGCTCTCACTGCAGTTCCCTTTGGGTTTCATGTTTTCCTTGTTCCCTTCCATGCCTAGCTGGATTGCAGCATTAAGTTTATGATTATGAAATTAACACTGAATAACAACAACAACAAAAGAAAGTATGTCTTCTGGAAGAGATTATAGAAAATTGGTATAATTTTTTCCTTAAATGTTTGATAGAATTTATCAGTAAACCCATTTGGGGCTGATGTTTTCTGTTTCTGAATGTTATTAATTATCGATTTAATTTAATATATGTCTATTCATTTCATTTTTTAAATTAATTTTTTTTATAAGACAAGGTCTCACTATGTTGCCCAGGCTTCTCTCAAACTCCTGGGCTTAAATTGGCCTCCCAAAGGGCTGGGATTACAGGCATGAGCTACTGTACCTAGCTTCATTTCACTTTTAGTTAAATTTGTTTTGAATAATAATAGATTTAACTTTGGGAGGCCGAGGCGGACAGATCACCTGAGGTCGGGAGTTCGAGACCACCCTGGCCAACATGGCGAAACCCCATCTCTACTAAAAATACAAAAACTAGCCGAGCATGGTGATGGGTGCCTGGAATCCCAGCTACTGGGGAGGCTGAGGCAGGGCAATTGCTTGAACCCAGGAGGTGGAGGTTGCAGTGAGCTGAGATCGCGCCATTGCACTCCAGCCTGGGCGACAGAGCGAGACTCCATCTCAAAAAAAAACAAAAACAAAACAAACAAAAAAACCCAATAACAATAACAATAATAGATTTAAAGAGTTGCAAAGCTAGAACACAGAGTTTCCATAAACCCCAGCTTTCCTTAATGTTAACATCTAACAAAATTCTGTCAAGACTAAGAAACTAAGAAATTAACATTGCTATAATACTATTCGCTAAACTGTAGACTTTATTTGGACTTCACCAGTTTTTCCAGGGCCCATTAATGCATTTAGCTTTTGGGTCTCCCTAGTCTTTCTGATCATGAGTTTCTCAGTCTTTACCTGTTTTCATGACCTTGAAAGTTTTGAAGAATACTGGATAGATAATTTGTAGGATGTCCCTCACTTTGGGTTTGCCTGATGCTTCCTTATGATTAGATTGGGGTTATGGGTTTAAGGGAAGAATACCATAGAGGGGAGTGTCCTCATCACATCATTTCTGGGGGGCAAGATGTTAACATGACTCTGATTGCTTGGTAGTGTCTGCTACATTTCTCCACTGTAAAGTTATTATTTTTCCTTTTTCATACTCTAGTCTTTGGAAGCAAGTCAGCAAGTCCAGCCCATATTCAAGGTGAGAGAAATAAAATTCCAATCTCCTGGGAAAGAGATTCTCGTAATATATGTTTTGAAATTCTTCTGTAAGGAAGATTTGCCCCTTCTTCCCTATTTATTTATTTAATTATTTTTGATTAAATAAATCAGTGTGGAATGAATATTTATTTATATTTTGGGTCATAATCCAATACTATTGTAACTTTGTTGCTCGGATTATTCCGGCTTTGTCCATAGGGAGCTCTTTCAGGCTGACTCCTGTGTCCCTCTGACATGCCCTTATTTTTTGGTGGTGAGGGTTGGGAGATGGGTGGCGGTTACTTTCTGGCATTACAAGATGTTCCAGGCTCACCTTATATTTTTCCTATGCCAGCCCTAGAATCAGCTGTTTTTCTATGGAGCCCTGAATCCTTTTATCAGAGAATGACTTAGCACAACCAAGGTCTAGGCACTGGGTGCTCACTTCACTCTTCTAAGGAGGACACAGAGGTCTCAAGACCTGTGTGAACTCACACAGGCACATAAATGGCTCTCACTTCAGCACCACTTTAGAGCTGATTCAGCTGGGCATGGTGGCTCATGCCTGTAATCCCAGAACTTTGGCAGGCTGAGGCAGGCGGATCACCTGAGGTCAGGAGTTTGAGACCAGCCTGGCCAACATGGCGAAACCTCGTCTCTGCTGAAAAATACAAAAATTAGCTGGGCATGGTGGCTCATGCCTGTAATCCCAGCTACTTGGGAGCCTGAGACAGGAGAATTGCTTGAGTCGGGGAGGCAGAGGTTGCAGTGAGCTGAGATCATGCCACTGCACTCCAGCCTGGGCGACAGAGCAAGACTCCGTCTCAAAAAAAAAAAAAAAAAAAAAAAAAAAAAAAAAAGAGAGAAAGAAAAAAAGAGCTGATTCAGCTCAGACTTTGACTTCCCCGACTTGATGAGCAATTTTCCATGCAGGTCTTTATTTCTTAAAGCTTCTGTTTTTCAGTATGCAGGGCTTAGGCACTAGTAATTTTATTCCCTAATATTTGGAGACTTTCCTAAAATAAACATTTCACATTTTGGTTACATGATTCACTTAGAGAATTGACCAGAATAGGCAAGAGGAAGAAGCCGGTGGAGGGAGGAGGCACATTGTTCTTTCCTGTGGAGTATTTCCCAATTCCTGCTGCTCTTTCCACATCCCTGGGCCTGGGAGAAGGATGGCACCCTTGGACCATGACAGAAAAATGGTGATTTGGAAATACCTGCCTCTTCTGTCTCCCTACCCTTCCATTTCAGTGCCCATTCTCCCTCCCAACCCATGGCCCATGAGCTTTTCCTTCTCCTAGCCTCTCACCTAGTGCTGGCTCCTCAGAGGGAAGTGAACCATCACCCCCTGGAGGGTGGAACTGGGGAGAGAGAGGCCAGAGCCTGGGGCTGGGGCAGAAGCTGCAGCAGGAAGGAAGGAGGTTAGAGAGACAGATGAGGGGTGAGATGTGAGTGCTCAGAGGGAGAATGAGGACATCCCCAGCATCTCCATAGAGGAGGGAGGAAGGGGCCTTGGGTGCTGGGGCAGAGAGAGGGGCAGGATCTGGATGGGACGCCCCACCCTCAGCCTCTGGTCCTCTGACAACACCTCACCTAGTCACACTGAGGGGCTTCTCCAGGCCCAGGAGCACCTGCAGGCAGGTGTATCTCAGGCCTTCTCTGGGAGGGCCCCCCACAGCTGCCCAGCCCTGATAAGTCTCATCTTCCTGGGTCTGGTCCCCTTGAGTCTTGAGTCCAGAGTTGGCTCCTCCCCTTCCTGCAGCCAGGTCAGAGTGATGTTGGCAAGTGAGAAGCCAGGTGCTCTACATGGCAAGGTGTGGTTGCCCTCAGGGTCTTCCTTGTCAGGGACCACAACTTTGGGGAAGTCGGGGAGGCACCGGATGCAGGAGATAGAGAACAGAGAGGTGGAGTGAGAGTGGGACACACTTCAGCCTCCCCTCCTCTCCTAGTCTTCCTCCACATGCCAGTGCCTTTCCCTCCCCAACTCCAGCACTTCTAACAGCCACAGCAGGAAGGGGAGACCCAAATCCCCATCACTCTCTGCCACAGTCTCTGTGAGTGTGGCCACCTCCATTTCCACTGCAGCTTTAGGGTCTGCCCCAGAGCAGAGTCCTGGGTATGCTTAGAGCGGGATACTGGAAGGTTCTTCCTTCAAATATCTGCATGGCTGTGTCTCTCCTTCTCAAGTCTGCTCACATGGCTCCTCCAAGAGGCCTACCCTGACCACCTGCCTCGGCCTCCCAAAGTGCTGGGATTACAGGCGTGAGCCACCACGCCCGGCCATTGTCCTGGCTCAATCTGATCAGGAATTCTTTTTTACTTTTTTCTTTTTGATTTTTTAGGTTCAAGGGATACATATTCAGGTTTGTTACATGGGTAAATTGTGTATCACGGGTGTTTGGTGTGCAGATAATTTTGTTACTCAGGTAATCAGCACAATACCCAATAGGTAGTTTTTTAATCCTCCCCCTCCTCCCACCCTCCACCCTCAAGGAGGCCCCAGTGTCTATTGTTCCCTTCTTTGTGTCCATGTGTACTCAATGTTTAGCTGCCACTTATAGGTGAGAATATGTGGTATTTGGCTTTCTGTTCCTACATTAATTTGCTTAGAATAATGGTCTCCACCTCCATCCATGTTGCTGTGAAGGACATGATTTCGTTCTTGTTTTTTTGGCTGGGTAGCGTACCATGGTGTATAAGTGCTGCAGTTTTCTTTTCTTTTATTTTTTTTTTGAGACGGAGTCTCATTCTGTCACCCAGGCTGGAGTGCAGTGGCGTGATCTCGGCTCACTGCAAACTCCACCTCCTGGGTTCATGCCATTCTCCTGCCTCAGCCTCCCGAGTAGCTGGGACTACAGGTGCCCGCCACCACACCCGGCTAATTTTTTGTATTTTTAGTAGAGACGGGGTTTCACTGTGTTAGCCAGGATGGTCTCGAACTCCTGACTTCGTGATCTGCCTGCCTCACCCTCCCAAAGTGCTGGGATTACAGGCGTGAGCCACCGCGCCTGGCCCTGTGCCGCAGTTTTCTTTATCCATTCCACTGTTGATGGGCATCTGGGTTGATTCCTTACCTTTGCTATTGTGAATAGTGCTGCACTGATCACAAATTCTTAAAAGTGGAGATAACTGAAGAAATGTAGGTCAGGTGTAGTGTTAGATTTCATCTACAGTGATTTCTACATCTAGTGAAATATGATTGTCTCTTTTTAAATTATTGAATTAAGTGTTAAAATGCATTAAAAGATTTAAAGTTTAAATATTCTTTTATTCTTGGGATTCATAACTTGGTCAAGATATTTAATTTGTTTATAGCACACTGATGGACACAGTCTACTATTTTTCTCATCTATTTTACATCTAATTACTAATAGTGATTTTCCTATCTTGTTTCTTTATTATTTGTTCCCTAACTGGCTTTAGAATTAACACTATTCATAGCTGATAAAGTGAGTTGCCTAGCTTTCTGTATTTTGCTCCATTCTCTTGAATATTTTAAATAAGTCCAATAACCTTCTTTGAAGGTTTAGTAGGACTTCCCTGTGAAACAATCTGTATATAGTTGGGCAGAGATAGAATTTTTACAACTGTTTTAACTTCTTACTTGCAGTAAGTCTTTTCCATCGACATTTTTTTTTATAATTTCAAGATTGTTTACATCTCTACTATAGCTGCAGTGGCATATTTATCTGTCATAACACTGTCTTGCTCTTAATTAACATTGTCTGTTTTTTTTCTCTGTTCAAAGAAACAGCTGCTTTTGGCAGGCTGGGTCCTCAGCAGTGGCAGCTGCCAGGTCAGCCTTGGTGAGTGGTGACTCAATTGCTCTGTCAATGCAGTGTCCATCCCAGCCACCACGGCCACTTTGTGCAGGGACTCATGAGCAAGCCTTGTGCGGCTGAGTGGCATCATCCATCAAGCCATCTCGCTCACCTGGTTACAGGGAGCCCCAGCCCCTTGGAGACCCTCTGGCAGGCATCCATATGCAACCTCTATCTTCACATGCTCTTCCCATGGAAAGTGGTCAGTGCACACTTCTCTCTTCCATCCGCCAATTTTCCAACTTTATTTTCCCCAAGTTCCAGACTGGCCAGGCAACCCATGAGTCACTGCCCTTGATTCATTCATTCATGCACTACTGGGGCATAATTTCTACCCTCTACCTCCTGTGGTCTTGTTTGGGTTTTGATTCCTAGTTCCTGGCTCGACAGCCCTTTCCAAAGCTGTTCTGGTGTCAGCTCCCAAGCCTACTGCTCTTGTAGATTCTCCTTTTTATATCTGAGTCATGGGCATTTATTTCCTGGAATTAAAAAAAAATTCACTGGTATTTTCAATGCAGCATTTCTAAGGACTTGGAGTAGGAGAAATTCTATATTAGCTTAGAGAGAATTGTTTCAAAACACCAGAAATGTAAACTTGAATGAAGGACAACATGCATGGAGAAAGGTGGACGAATCACAGGTGGGCAGTGGGTTTTGCCCAAGTAAAAACTCGGATAAACAACACCTTCATCAAGCAACATCATTTTCACCCTCCAAGAAACACCGTTGAGTCATAAACCAGCCTCCCCCACCCTAGAGTAGCCACTGTCTTGATTTTTAACACTGTAGATGAGTTCTGTTGGTTCTGATTGAATGAAATTAGAAGTTGTTTTCATGTAGTCGGGCTCATCATCTTTGTTGGGCTCATCATCTTGCTGTGTGTGGTCATAGCCGATTCTCTCCCATGGCCGTCAAGTGCTCCACTTTATTTATTTATTTATTTTGAGACGGAGTTTCACTCTTGATGCCCAGGCTGGAGTGCAATGGCGCCATCTCGGCTCACTGCAACCTCCGCCTTCCCGGTTCAAGCAATTCTCCTACTTCCGCCTCCCGAGTAGCTGGGATTACAGGCATGCGCCACCACTCCCGGCTAGTTTTGTGTTTTTAGTAGAGACACAGTTTCTTCATGTTGGTCAGGATGGTCTTGAACTCCCGACCTCAGGTGATCCACCAGCCTCGGCCTCCCCAAGTGCTGGGATTACAGGCGTAAGTCACCGCATCCAGCCAAGGGTAAATCTCTTATTTTAGAAATTATTCAGCTAGTGAATGGGGAAGGAATGAGAGACTGAGACTATAATTCTTTTGCAACCCATAACGAATTAACAGATTTAGCCATTGAAAAGCAATGGCAATTAAAAGTAGAGTAGAAGTAAATAACCAGTACTAAGTTCTTCCTCCTGATGGAAGAATACAATGGAGTGCCATAAATGAAGTATTCAAGAAGAAAATCAAGTCAGTCTATAAGCAAATCTCTGTAGCCAACTACCAATTTGTAGAAAGTACAGATAAAACAGGTCCATATTAAACTATGCCTTGGGGTGGAGCCAGCAAAATGCAAACTATGGAAAACTCAGCCAGACAATAAAATTTCAAGGAGGAGCATAGAGAAAAAAAGAGAACAGGCCAGGTGCGGTGGCTCACGCCTGTAATCCCAGCACTTTGGGAGGCCGAGGCAGGCAGATCATGAGGTCAGGAGATTGAGACCATCCTGGCTAACATGGTGAAACCCTGTCTCTACTAAAAATACAAAAAAATTAGCTGGGCGTGGTGGCAGACGCCTGTAGTCCCAGCTACTCGGGAGGCTGAGGCAGGAGAATCGCATGAACCCGTGAGGCGGAGCTTGCAGTGAGCCGAGATCATGCCACTGCACTCCAGCCTGGGTGACAGAGTGAGACTCCGTCTTAAAAAAAAAAAGAAAAAAGAGAACAAAAATTATACATCCCAAGGTAAAACTAAACTACAATTTCAGAGGATGAAAATATAAAATAGAACAAAGAAGCAATCATCATAAAGGTCAGGCTGTGATTTTATGTGGGGAAGGGAAGCCTTTATCACTGAGCTGGGGCAAATGATGGTTTCTGGGCTGGCTGACAAACTTCTATATCTCTGGTGGTTAAAGGGTGTTTATCTTTTATTATTATTATTTATTATTATTATTAAAGGGCAACATTTTCAGACAGTTTTTCTTTTTGGGTACCTGTTTTATTTTATGGCAAAAAGCTAATGAAGTATAAAATAATTTATAGGTCATGATTACTGTTTTGCAGAAAGCCTACTCTCCACACCCCTCTCCAGACACTGAGCTCCCAAAACAAGTGGCAGCACCAGGACCCCCTGGCAGGGCCACCTCACTTCTGGGTGTGTTCATGTCACTGGAGGCAATGTCCCAGGTCTATTCCTTGATGCCTGGAAGAACCTGATAGGAGACAGTTGAGGGGAAGCCTTCTCTGTCACCTGCAGGTTCTTGGCTGTCACTGTAGAGGGAGCGGGTCCTCACTTCTCCCACAGGCCGGATCACAGCCAGAACCTCCTCCCTGCATGAGGAGTGAGGCTTGATCCTTTCCCTGAATACAGTGACAGAGATCTCTGTGTCATCACATGAAGGCTCCAACTCTTCAGGGCAGATGTTCCCTCACAGGGTCAGCCCCTGAATATTGGCGCCAGATGTCCCACCTCCATCCCTTCCCAGTCCTTTCTGTTCTGCTGTGAATCTGTCAGTCATTGGGAACTAGCAGGGAAAGGGAACAAGGAGGGGAGATTGCTTTGATGCTGGGTCAAGGCATTGAGACAGACCTCTCCTTCTCTCTGAACCTCACACTTTATCCGCTCCCAGACGCATGAAATAAAACACAGACCAGAAATGTCTATTTAAAGAGTAAACATTTACGGTATAAATTATGCACACATAATAGTAGACACAGAGTAATGCATAACGGTGTGACGGGGCGAGGGGACCTCAAGGTGACAAGAAAGCTGGTCCTGGGCTGGTCAGGAGGAGTCATCACCAAGATACTCACTCATAAAGTTCACCCATGATAATCTAATTACTGCACATGTAATATATTAAAATATATTAAAACATAAGAAAATAGGACAGGCATGGTGGCTAATATAATAAAATATATTACAATATAATAAAATAGGCCAGGCACGGTGGCTCATTCTTGTAATCCCAGCACTTTGGGATGCCAAGGCAGGCAGATCACCTGAGGTCAGGAGTTTGAAACTGGGCTGGTCAACTTGGCGAAACCCCGTCTCTACAAAAAATACAAAAATTAGCTGGGTGTGGTGGTGCCTGTCTGTAATCCCAGCTATTCGGGAGTCTGAGGTACGAGAAGTGCTTGAACCTGGGAGGCAGAGGTTGCAGTGAGCTGAGATCACACCAGTGAACTGCAGCCTGGGTGACAGAGTGAGACTCTGTCTCAAAAACAAAAACAAAAACAAAAACAAAAACAACAGAAATAATGATACCAATTAATATGGCACTGTTAAGGGCCCCACAACCCTGTATTGGACTGAACAAAGGGCGAACGTGGGAATAAAGAGAAAGACAAAAGAGTATATTTGGAACAAGGGGTCAGGGGGCTTCTTGCTTCTCGTGAACAAGGGCTCTGATCTTCCACAGCCCTTCGTATTTATTGGTATAGGAGATAGCAAGAAGAGGGGTGGAAGAAGGAGTCAGCTGCTGGGTCCAGAGTAGGCTTGTAAGACTGCATTCCTCAAACAATAGGCTCTAGATGACCCAGTAGATAACTCCAATGAGCACCATGGAGTGAATGCCCTCAGCAAACCTTCTGTTGGCAGGAGCAGTCGTGAGTTTGCCCACATCCTGCATTCATGATAAACAATTTGCTGTTTGATCATATAGCCTCCAATGGAATGTTGAGTTGGTCATGATCCCTTTGCTGGCTCTCTACGTGGCAGAGCAGCAAACACCTCATACCTACTAACACTTTGCAGCATCCAACAACAATAAATAAGTGATGTTATTTTCTCTGTTTCATAGGTCAGGAAACAGAGGGAAAGTGCTGGTGAGATCCAGGCAGGGAGTTGAATCCTGGCCGCCTGGCTGTAGAGTCTAGGTGCCCTCAGTGGAACCAGTGGACCCAGTAGCTGACATCAGAGGCTGAAATCCCAGCTGTGCTGCATCCCTGTGGTCTCCTGTCCCAACTGGGTGTTGATCCAGGACCTGCAGGCTCACAAGCTCTGGAGAAGAGGGAAACGGGTAAATGCTCCACTGGGTGCAGTGTTGTGTTTATTCCCTAAGGACTTTTCTCTCTTCAGTTGCCCCAAAATCAGATTCACCCTTTCTCTGAGAGAAGATGAGGCCCCCACTTTTTTCTTCCTCCCTCCTTGCTTTTCCCAGCCCGTCAGTTCTCTCCCATCACTCCATCAACATCAGCCCCTGTCCTGTGCCCACCACTCACCGTGCAGGGAGTGAAAGGGCCCCAAGACAAAAGGACAAGACCCAAGAGGGAACCCAGTGCCCTCCTCTCAGGCCTGACCAGTCCTGTTACAGTGAGAGGCCTCCCCAAAGAGAGGCCCTGACCCTTGCTCTCAGTCCCCAGGCCCTTCTCTCCTGCAGAGGCACCTGCACACCAGGGCAGGCCCTGCCCACTGTGGGCCCTGCCCTCTATCTGCAGCTCAGCACTCCTCCCCTCCCAGCCCTGAGCAGGCAGCTCCTAACTGGGGACCCCATCAGGAAGCCTGGGGGGCCCAGCAGGCCCAGCATGGAAAGACATGGCTGCCACAGGATCTGCACCTGACATGACCCTGGGACCCCCCACCTTGCTCGAGGAGGCCTGGCCTCCCATGACCTTCAGCACCCACCTAGGCCTGTGACCTGCTGTTGAGTCACTACTGCTCCTGCCTGGTCCACTTACTCCTGGTCCACTTACTTCACCCCAGGGCTGCTGCTTGGTGAGGCTGCGAGGCCTTCCTGCTCTGTCCCTAGCAGGGATTCCACCCAGGCCACTGCCCTTGCAACCTACAAGGACTTTTCTCCACGTGGAGTAGGGGAGACCCCTTAGCCTGAGGCTGCCTCTGCCCACCCTCTGCACCTGGGAACTGCCGCTGCCACAGCCACCATCTCCACACAGACCCTTCTGGAGAGGGGGCTCCAAATTTGAGTTCCTGTTTTATTTAATATGCTTTACAACAGCAGTATTAGAGGAAATCCTATTAAGATTATAGAGCTGAAATTACGAACATCTTTATTGGACATCAACATTGAAAGCAGGAATTTTGAGAAACTGGCACATGAATTTCATACCCTTTTCCTGGCCAAAACCCCAGTGACCTACGAGGAAACCATTCCTGCCCACAGGGAACCAGAAGTGACAATCCCTCCACGGGAGACGCCGCAGGTGAGAGCAGGAGTGACCACAGACCTGCACTGCCCCTGCTGTGGGTGCCTCCTGGACGGGGCCCTCTTGCTGCAGGGCAGGGGACGAACCTTCCCATCTGCTCAGGCATGAGGGGCCGACTGACAGTGCAATTAGGTTCAAGGATGAGAAACCAGCGCCCCTACCGCCAGACTCAGGTCTCCTGGACACCCCAGCCTCTCACTGTCCCCTGCACTGCCTCTGTTTTTGCAGAAACACAAAACTTCTGCTGTCTCTTTTCATCTCCCATCAAACAACCTGACTGTGGGGGAAATGCTTCTGACTGTCCCTTACTCCAAACTTACCAGGCAGTGACCACCTTGAGAAAGGGAAATTGGCTCAGGGAGGGCAAGGTAAGGCCACAGAGCACAGAACAAAGCCTCAAAGAGATGGCGCCTGGGGACTGTGTCCCTCAGGGACTGCAGAAGAAAACACGCTGGAGGTAGGATGAAAACAGGGACCACATCTGCCCTGATGAGGGGCTGGGCCCCGCTCCTCAAATGGCCCAGGGACATCTGCTTATCTATTCATCTGTGTCATCTGCAAGGAAACTCAGGGAGGCCAGGTAGTGGGAACCTGGAAAGTGCCTCCTGGAGGAGGCACACGGGTGGGCATCGCCTCTCCTTGGATTCCTCTCCAGTTTCTGGCCCTCCCCAGATCACAGCCACCTTTACTATTTCCTCCCTCTGACACCATGATCATCCAGGCCCTCAGCAATCAGCACGTGATTCCCAACTCACCCCACCTGGATGCACCCTAGTGAGCCCGAGAGACAGAGAGGCTGGGATGGGGACAGAGCAGGTGCCACAGCCCTCCCTGCTGCCCACTCCTCACTTGCAGCAGGAGGAGGCCACAGCTGGATATTCGAAGGCCTTGCCCCAGCCCTGGCTTGGGAAGCACTTATGGGTGTAGATGGAGATGCAGCTCCCATTCCCCTCCCAAATACCCCAGCTTCCATCCCCTGTCCCAGCAGCCTTGTCACCTACGTCTTGTCTGGGCAGGAGCAATGAGGAGACCCTACTGCCTAGAAAGGAGCTTTCCCATCTCCAGAAACTGTCCCCTTTTCTCACCTGGACCCTCTGCCGCTGATGTTTTCTTCTTGCAACAAGGGACACAGAGAATAATAATAATAACAAAACATGGCATAGCAGCAGAAACATATGGAAAGTCTGTCCGTTGACTCTGAAGCACCAGCGCCTTCCCTGAAAAAAAGGGACTTGTTATACACTGGGCAGAGAGCCACAGCCGTCCCTGCTGTTCCTACCCTGGCCTGACCCTCTCCAGGGTCACCCCAGGCTCACCAGAGGGCACAGGGTGAGTGCCGTGATTCCCGCTGTGTTCCATGTAGCAGGTGAACCTCTGCTCCTCTCCTTGGCGAATCCTGGTGGCCACCCAGGTCTGGTAGGTTCCATTCCCATCAGGCAGGACATCCCCCCACTGCTGGGTGTTGTGGCTCAAAGATACCCCATCCTGACGCCAGGTCAGTGTGATATTCCGGGGATAGAAGCTGGAAGCCCTGCATGTCACGGTGATGTTGCCCTCTGAGACCTCGCTGCAGATGACATTCACCATGGGGGGCACTGGAGAAGAAAGGGCAGAGCCAGTGAAGCCCTGCTCCCCTCTAAGGGAGATGCAGGGAACAGGGCTGCTCCTCTCCACTGTTCTCACTCTGGCTGAATCCCTCACAGATCCCGGACCTTCTGTAAGTCTGTCCTCACCCTGGGGCCTAATTCCTCCAGGCTAGCAGGAGGATGGGCCTTGGGACTGTGGCCTCAGGCTCTGGGATCCCCACATTGATGCTGAGGAGGGGGATGTCAAGGGTGGACTCCTGGGTCATGGGGCCAGGAGGGAACTCTCCGGGATGGGCAGGCCGGGAGGCAGAGGGGGCAGCCCTGGCCCTGAGGGCTTCCTCTCCTGCCTAACTCCCACCCCAGGCTCAGGCTTCTGTCAGAGGGCCCACTGCTTTCCCAGATTACAACACTGGACAGTTCAGTCCCAGACCCACTGTCTTTATCCAATGGCTCTAACAGGAGAGGCAAATCAGGACACAATATGCCAACAGGAAACGCCTGCATCCATAGCACAGGGAGGGTTTCCCCGGACAGAGCTGGGAGGCGAGGCAACTCTAGCAGAATTGCGGGAACAGTAGAGCCCCTGGCCAGGGTCGGTACCTGTTCTCCTGATGGCCACCCCGGATTTCAGATATCGCTGTAGTTTCTGCAGGCAGTCTGCCTGCATAGCGCGATAGTGTGTCTTGGTCTTCATGGCATCTTCCTTCCAGAAATTTGTGACGTTCATAGCCAAGGTCTGAGCTCTGGAGGACTGGGGCACTGTCGATTCTTGAGTCTCCAGGTTTTGGGAGAGGAAGAGCTCCCCATCGTAGTAGAAATGCCGGGAGCCCCTGGTGCTGCTGTCTTCATGGATCTCACAGACCCTAATCTCCTGGAGGGAATGCAAGCCTGCCCCCACCCAGCAGTGACTTCTCCATTCCCGAACCCATCACCTTTCCACCCAAGTGAGGAACTCAGCCCAGCGGCGACCCCTCCCTGGCCCTCCTCCATGCCTCCCTGTGTGGGCTGAGTTCCGGCTCACCACCCTGCTGAGCCTCCCTGACCCTATTCCTCATCCCCACCCCCAGCCAGATCCAGCGGGAAGAGACAGGTCCCTGCTCTCTGTCTCCAACTTTCCTGGAGAAGGCCTCCCATTACTCTTGCCCCTGCCGACTCTCACCTCCTTTCTGGTCCTTGATATGAGTCAGGGTCCTCCTGAGGTCTTGCCCATTCTCTGTCAAGTCCTCGGTCTCTGTGTCCCAGGTCTTAGCTCCCAGGACATCTTCTGCCCACTGTCCCTGGGGCTTTGCCCTGCGTTTCTGCCTGTCATAGCGCAGGAAGGGCTGACCATCCAGATGTCCCTCAGCGAGAAACCCTGACTGCACAGATCCATCCTGGGACAGCACCATGAGGTTGTAACGAAGACTGTGGGGCTCTGGGGAAGAGGAAATCACAGGTGAAACTTCTTCCTGGAAATAACTTCACATTGATGTTTAACACACAGGTCTGCTGTCCCGACCTCCCTGAGGAGGCAGGAAATGCACATGGGCAAAAGGACAAGAACGAAGATTTCATATACAAGGAAAACTGTGAGGGTGGGAGGATAGAGGAGGGGGCTGATGAACAGAAGAAGGGGGAATGAAGATGGCAAACTTGTAGGTCAGGTGCCAGGACTGGGTGGCCACAAGCCCCCTAAGGGAATAGGGGCCAAGGGGAGAGGCTGCCCTGCAGGGGCAAGGGAGGAGCATGAAGGCAGTGTTGGAAGGAAGGTCTTGCCAGAGGGGACAGTGGGAATGGGAAGGGACTCAGGCTCAGAGGGACCCATGTCCAGTGTGGCTGTGGTGCACAGGTGAGGGTGAGATGGAGGCAAGGCGAGCTGCCTCGAGAAAAGACTCATCATGGGCATGGTGGGGACAAGGGAGGGGGTGGTCATGAGGCACAAGGGGTAGGAAGGTTGTAGCCCCAGTGAAGTTTATAGTGGGGTCAGTATCCCAGAGGGGAGCAATGATGTGGGCTTGGGTCCAAAGTGGAAGAGTGGCATGACAAGGCCCCAGGACAGCAATTGGATGGACCAGCTAGTGTCCACTGGGGTGGGCAGGTGACAGGGTCTCAAAGAGTAAGTCCATCTTTTCAGCAAATAGTGCTGGGGGAACTGGATGTTCAAATAATATAAAATTGGACCCTTAATTTGTACTATATACAAAAATTAACTCAAAATGAATCAAAGACCTAAACTCTAAACTCAAGAACTAAAACATAAAAATATCTTAGAAAAAAACATTGGGTATAATGTTCATGACATAGGGTTTGACAGTGCTTTCATGGATATGACGCCAAAGCACAGATAGAATAGAAAGAACTGACAAACTAGACTCATGAAAAATTCAAAATATCTGTGCATCAAAGGGCACAGAGTGAGAAAGCAATCAACCCCTGAAATGAAATAAATATTGCAAGTCATATATCTGATAAGAGGTTGAAGGCCAGGCGTGGTGGCTCAAGCCTGTAGTTCCAGCACTTTGGGAGGCCGAGGCGGGTGTATCACCAGGTCAGGAGATTGAGACCATCCTGGCTAACATGGTGAAACCCTATCTCTACTAAAAATACAAAAAATTAGCCGGGTGTGGTGGCGGGCGCCTGTAGTCCCAGCTACTCGGGAGGCTGAGGCGGGAGAATGGCATGAAGCTAGCGGGCGGAGCTTGCAGTGAGCTGAGATCGTGCCACTGCACTCCAGCCTGGGCAACAGAGCAAGACTCCATCTCAAAAAAAAAAAAAAAAAAAAAAAAAAAAAAAAAAAAAAAAAAAAAGAAAGAGAGATTAGTTTCCAGAATATGCAAAAAAGTTTGACAAAAACAACAAAACAGTCAACCCACTCAAAAATGGGCAAAATAGCCATGAGAAGCTATGTGGGGGAGAAAAATGGGCAAGACTTCAATGGCCAATTCTTCAAAGAAAATATACAAATGATCAATAAACACATGAAAAGATGCTCAATATCAGTACTCATTAGGAAAATGCAAATCCAAACCACAACGAGATACCACTTCAAACCAATCAGGGTGGCTATTATCACACACACACACACACACACACACACACACACACACACACACAAACAGCAAGTTTGGCAAGGAGGTAGAGAAACTGAAGCCCCTGTATACTGCTTCTAGAAATACAAAATGGCACGCCTGCAATGGAAAACACTATGGTGATTCCTCTAAAAATTAAAAAATGAAATACCGTATGATCCAACAATTCTATTTCTGGATATATACCCAAAAGAAATATTCAAAAGAAATAAATATATACCCAAGAGAAATGAAATATTTGCCAATATCCAAAAGGTAGAAGTAACCCAAGTGTCCATTGTCTGAGGAATGGATAACCAAGATGTGGTACATACATATAATGAGTATTATTCATCATTAAAAGGAATGAAAATCTGACCCATACTACAACCTGGATGAACCTCGAAATATTATAAGTGAAATAAGCCAGAATCAAAAAGACAAACATTACACGATTCTACTTAAATGAGGTACCTAGAGTGGTCAAATTCATAGAAACAAAAAGTAGAATGATGGTTACCAGGGGCCAGAGGTAGGGAGGAATGGGGAGTTACCGATTAATGGGTACAGAGTTTTGGGTTGCACAAAAATGTGAATGTATCTAATGCCACCGAGTATACACTTAAAAGCGGTTAAAACAGTAAAATGTATGTAATGTATAATTTACCACAATTAAACGTTTAAAGAACAAGAAATATCAGTCCTATTCAAATTGTTCTGAAAAACAGAGGAGGAGGGAATACTTCCAAACTCATTTTACAAAGCCAGGAATATCCTGATATCAAAATCAGGCAAAGACACATCAAAAAAAGAAAACTACAGGCCTATATCCCTGATGAACATTGAGGCAAATATCATCAATGAAATACTAGCAAACCACATTCAACAGTATATTAAAAAGATCATTCTTCATGACCAAGTGGAATATATTCCAGGTATGCATACACAAATCAATCAATGTAATACATCGTATCAACAGAATAAAGGACAAAAGCCATATCACCATTTCAATTGATACTGAAAAAGCATTTGATAAGTTTAACATCCCTTCATGATAAAAACTCTAAAAAAACTGAGTATACAAGGAACAGACCTCAATATAATAAAAGCCATATATGACAACTCACAGCTAGTAACATACTGAATGGGGGAAAACTGAAAGCCTTTTCTTTAAGATCTGGAACAAGACAAGGATGACTACTTTCACTACAGTTATGCAACACAATACTGCAAGTCCTAGCTAGAGCAATCTGACAGGAGAAGGAAATAAAGGGCATCAAAATTGGAAAAGAAGAAGTCAAATTATCCTTGTTTGCACATCATGTGGTCTGATATTTGGAAAACCTAAAGACTCCACCAAAAAACTATTAGAACTGAAGAACAAATTCAGTAAAGTTGCAGGATACAAAATCAACATGCAAAAAACAATAGCATTTCTATGTGCTAACAGCAAATAATCTGAAAAAGAAATCAAGAAACGAATCCCATTTTCATTAGCTACAAATAAAATAAAATACCTAGGAATAGACTTAACTGAAGAAGTGAAAGATCTCTCCAATAAAAACTATAAAGCACTGATGCAAAACATTGAAGAGGACACAAAAAATGGAAAAGGCATTCCATGTTCATGGACTGGAAGAATCAATGTTTATTTTTATTTTCTGAGATGGAGTTTTGCTCCTGTTGCCCAGGCTGGAGTGCAATGGTGCAATCTCAGCTCACCACAACCTCTGCCTCCTGGGTTCAAGCGATTCTCCTGCCTCAGCTTTCCTGAGTAGCTGGGATTACAGGCATATGCCACCACGCCTGGCTAATTTTGTATTTTTAGTAGAGGCGGGGTTTCCCCATGTTGATCAGGCTGGTCTTGAACTCCTGATCTCAAGTGATCCACCTGACTCGGCCTCCCAAAGTGCTGGGATTACAGGAGTGAGCCACCGTGCCCAGCCGGAAGAATCAATTTTGTTAAAATATCCATCCTACCCAAAGCAATCTACAAATTCAATGCAATTGCTATCAAAACACCAATGACATTCTTCACAGAAATAGAAAAACAATCCTAAAATGTATATGGAATCACAAAAAACCCAGAATAGATAAAGCTACCCTGAGCAAAAAGAACAAAACTAGAGGAATCACATTATCTGACTTCAAATTATACTACAGAGCTAGAGTAATCAAAACAGCATGGTAGTGGCATAAAAACAGACACACGGACCAATGAAACAGAATAGAGAACCCAGAAACAAATCCATATATCTACAGTGAAGTTATTTCTAACAAAGTTAGCAAGAACACATACAGGGCAAAGGAGAGTCTCTTCAATAAATGGTGCTGGGGAAACTAGATATCCTTATGCAGAAGAATGAAACTGGACCCTATCTCTCACCACATATAAAAATCCAATCAAAAAGGATTAAAGATGTAAATCTATGACCTCAAACTATGAAAACTATGAAAGAAAACATTGGGGAAACTCTCTAAGATATTGGACTGGCAAAGATTTTTTAAGTAATACCCCACAAGCACAGGCAACCAAAGTAAAAATGCACAAATGGGATCATATCAAGTTAAAAAGCTTCTGCACAGCAAAGGAAACAATAAACAAAGTGAAGAGACCATCCAAGAATGGGAGAAAATATTTTCAAACTATTCATCTGACAAAGGATTAGTAACCAAAACATATAAGGATCTCAAACAACTCTATAGGAAAAATATCTAATAATCCAACTTAAAAATGAGCAAAAGATCTGAATAGTCATTTCTCAAAAGAAGACATACAAATGGCAAACAGGTATATCAAAAGGTGCTCAACATCATTCGTCATCAGATGAAGGCAAATCAAAACTCCTACGAGATATCATCCCACCCCAGATAAACTGGCTTTTATCCAGAAGACAGGCAATAAGGAATCCTGGTGAGGATGTAGCAAAAGAGAACCCTTGTACACTGTTGGTGGGAACGTAAACTAGTATAACCACTGTGGGAAATAATGTGGAGGTTCTTCCAAAAACTAAAAATATAATAGAGCTGTCATATGCTCCAGCACTCCCACTGTTAGGCATATACCCAAAAGAAAGGAAATCGGTATATTAAAGAGCTATCTACTTTTCCATGTTTATTGCAGCACTATTCAAAATAGCCAAGATCTGCAAGCGACCTAAGTGTCCATCAACAGACGAATGGAGAAAGAAAATGTGGTGCACACGTGTATGTGGAGTACTATTCAGCCATCATGTCATTTGCAAAGAACTGGAGGTCATCATGTGAAGTGAAATAAGCCCCAGGCCCAGAGAGACAAACTTCGCATGTTCTCACTTATTTGTGGCAGCCAAAAATTAAAACAATGGACCTCATGGGGAGAGACAATAGAATTACGAATACCAGAGGCTGAGAAGGGTAGTGGGGAGTGGGGGAGTGCGGATGGTTAATGGGTACAAAAATATAGTTAGAATGAATAAGATCTAGTAGATAGCACAGCAGGGTGAGTACAGCCAACAATAATTTATTGTACATTTAAAAATAACTGAAAGAGCATAATGGGATTGTTTGTAGCACAAAGAAAGGATAAATGCTTGTTGTGATAGATAACCCATTTACCCTGATGTGATTATGACATATTGTAGGCCTGTGTGAAAATATCCCATGTACCCCATAAATATATACATACATATCTACTATGTACCCAAACAAAAGTTAAAAATTAAAAACAAAGCAAGGGGTGGGGGTGCTGGCCAGAGAGAGAAAACCAAGGTAGAAGGGGAGATTCTCAGCCTGAGGAAGGACCTGCCAAAAGGAGTAATGCTGGAGGGGGAGCAGTGGCACCCCAAGAGCAGGCAAAACAGATTTTAGATATGCGGTGTGGGGAGTGAGAGCCCACTGGGGTCAAGGAACCAAAAGAAAAGAAGGAAGGTCAAGGAACAGCTGGCCCAACAGCCTGTTTTAGGTCTGGGTTGGGGAGGGGAGATGGGCAGAGCAAGAACTGGAGGGCGGCATGAGCATGGGGCAGGAGTGACTGTGGGAGAACTTGGGGTAGGGTGAGGACAGGAGGGGAGGGTGCTCTGGGGGAGGGTGGGGCTTGGGAAAGATTCTCAGCACTGTCATATGCTCCAGCACTCCCACTTTCCCACTGAAAGATGAGAACTTGCTGAGGGCCCCAGGCAGCTGGGCAAGAGATAGGAGCAGCACAAGGTCCCAAGGTGGAGAGGGGCGGAGGGACCAGGGAGGGATGGTCCAGCACCTGTGGGCTGGAGGGTGGGGTCCTCAAGAGGGTGAGGCTGAGGATGAAGGAGTGGGGAAGGGGCCACAATGAGGCAGGGCCCAGAGCAGGCACCTGCACTGGAGGGGAGGGGGCATCTGCGCTGCCCTGCGCCCTGCCTAAGGCCCAACTGCCATTAGCATCAGGGCTCTCCTTGGGGGTCTGGAGGGGAGTGGGATGGAGGGAAGACCCCCCCCGGACAAAAGGCAGCACCAGAAAGTTAGAGTCAGGGACATTTGGGAATGGGGAGGCATAGGGGCAGCACGGAGTGAAGGCTGCTTGCAGGAAAGGCCCATAAAGGAGGCAGGAGGGACCTTCAGTGGCGGGGGCGGGGGATGAAGGCAGAGGACACCCTAGAAATGGATCAGAGAACAGCACACAGGAAGGGGTAGCAGGGAGCTGGGAGAGCAACAGGACCCAGGGCGCCGTAAGATGGGCAGGGAGGAGGTGAGAGGGAATCTGGTGTCCTTAGATCATTGGTCATTAGTAGGGGTGGGATGCGAGAGAGGAGAGGACCCCCGGAGCCGGAGGCGAGGGGAGAATGAGCTGGGGATGACAGAAGTCGCAGGAAGAATCCTCTGCCCGGAGCCTGCAGACTCCAACCCCTCAGCTTGAGAGTCAGGACCCCCCACAGTCCCCACAGCAGCAAGAAGCACCACCTCTGGGTCCCAAGAAAGGAGGGCCCCAACTCCAGGAGCTGCGGCCCAGGAGCTGAGAACACATCGGCTCCGGGAGAGGACAGGACTTCAGGGACCTGAGATCCGCCCCCAGCACCGGGGGAAGTGGCTGCCTCAGCGGCCGCGCTGGAACGGCCTTCCAATGCCATTCACAGGAGCAGCCCGGGAACCCAGGGGCCTCAGAAGGACTGGTTTGTCCGAAAAGTGAGAGGAGACGGAGGAGAGGCGAGGAGAGCAAGTGCAGGAGAGACCAGAAAATGCGGGTGATGCGCGATCCCGAGGAGGACTGAAAGGAGACGGGAGGTCGGGGGCGGTGGCTCACGCCTGTAATCCCAGCACTTTGGGAGGCCGAGGCGGGCGGATCACGAGGTCAGGAGATCGAGACCATCCTGACTAACACGGTGAAACCCCATCTCTACTAAAAACACAAAAAATTAGCCGGGCGCGGTGGCGGGCGCCTGTAGTCCCAGCTACTCGGGAGGCTGAGGCAGGAGAATGGCGTGAACCCGGGAAGCAGAGCTTGCAGTGAGCCGAGATTGCGCCACTGCAGTCCGCAGTCCGGCCTGGGCGACAGAGCGAGACTCCGTCTCAAAAAAAAAAAAAAAAAAAAAAAAAAAAAAAAATTAGCCGGGCGTGGTGGCGGGCGTCTGTAGTCCCAGCTACTAGGGAGGCTGAGGCAGGAGAATGGCGTGAACCCGGGAGGCGGAGCTTGCAGTGAGCCAAGATCGCGCCACTGCACTACAGCCTAGGCGACAGAGACTCCGTCTCAGAAAGAAAAAAAAAAAGAGACGAGAGATGGGAAAGCAGGGCTGAGGTGTGGCGGGAACAGGCGGCGTCCAGCTCCCTGCACTCCAGACAGCACACCTGAGCCCCGCCCTGACCGCACAGCGCTCGCGGCAACCCACCCGGACCCCCGGAAACGCCCCGCCGCTCCCGCTCCGCCGGGGACCGCCAGGATCCCCACTCACCAGCGGCGGCTGCCGGGGGTGCAAAAGGGAAGGCGACGGCCAGAAACAGCAGGACCCGGCCCAGCCCCATGGCCCCTACGTCGCCACCTTCTCAGCTGCTCAGCAGTGGCCAACTGAATGAAAACGGTGAGAAGACCCCGTGGAAATTTAGTCACCTGCGCCCCGCTCAGCGACCGCTTATCCAGTGAAAACTGAGGCCCGGAACTTAGGGCCAATCATGAGTGGAGAGGGCGGGGCCACGTTCAGAAGAGAAAATTCTAGCGGCCTGGAGACCTGGGGAAATTTAGAAGGCGGGACCTGGCGGCCAGAAAAGGGGGAGCGTGCGCGAGCGCAGCCAAAATCAAGGACCAGCCCCGAGTAGCTGAGAGTACAGCTCCAACCTTATGAGCACGACCTGGACCCTGTCGCCCTCCCTGCATCGCGACCACCCCATCCCCGCATTCCCACCCCCAAGGAGCGCGGGCTTCACCAAGCCCCTTTCGCCGGTCCTCCCATCAGGCCGGCTCTCACTGGCTTGTTCCTTCCGGGACAGACAACGCGTGGTTTTTCTCCCAATACACTCCCTCAACCGCGCACAGCGTTACTGCAATGAGACCAGTGACCAGATTTGCAGACCTGTTTCCAGATCTCAGCCGCCTCTGCCTTTCAGAAGCACTTGCCCCAGTAGAAACGCTCAGATCACAAATTCTCTTAGACGTTTCAGCTATATAATCTCCTTCTCCTCCCTTCGACTCAAAGCCAGGTCCCCCCTTTCACCCCCTTATATCCTCTAAGTGTCTGAGGTCTCCCAGGGCCCCCTCTCTATTCAGTTCCTGGGTAATCACAGGGCCAACGAGGCGGCTCCCCATGGTTCATTACAACACCAAGCTCTCTCCAGACTCCCTTTTCCAGCCTGTTTTAGGACATCTGTACCTCTGGGACCATAGTCCCCTTCAATATGACAGATCTACAAGGACTCTCTACACGTCTCCCACCACATCATCCTCTCTTCCTCCTCAGTTTCTCTTAAGAACTTCACCATCCTTGGTCCCTTCTGATTTCCTCTTTCCCCTTCATCTCCGGGAGTCAAAGTCAGCTCCTTCAACGCTATTTCAATCCCACAGCCATAGTCTTAGTCTAGGCTTTCCCCTCCCTTCAGTCTGGATTACTGCACAGGCTTCCTAAACACTGTGCCTGCCTCAGTTACAACCAGAGTGCTCCAAGCCACCCACAGCGCCCCATCTGCTGAATGTCACACATGGTGGATGCTTCTACTCTACCATGGAAACCATAGCTCCCACAATCTATTGTCTGGCACCACCCCCATTTCTCTGGTGACATTTCCCCAGGGTTGCAGTAAACGTGGGCTCTGGGATCTCCTCACCCTATCCCACCAGGATGCCACTGCCTAAGCAGTCTCCCTCTTCCAGGTTACTGTCACCTCTGCCTTGGAACCCATCAGACCACAGCATATCCTCAAAATCTTCCCAATTAGGCTGGTCTGAGTGCAGTGGTGTTTACAACTAATTGATCACAACCAGTTATAGATGTTTTTGTTTCATCTTCACTCCCACTGTTTCACTTGACTAGCCTTTAAAAAAAAAAAAAAGGAAAAAGGGTCCGGGCACGGTGGCTCACGCCTGTAATCCCAGCACTTTGGGAGGTCGAGGTGGGCAGATCACGAGGTCAGGAGATCGAGAGCATCCTGCTAACACAGTGAAACCCCGTCTCTACTAAAAATACAAAAAACTTAGCTGGGCGTGGTGGCGGGTACCTGTAGTCCCAGCTGCTCAGAAGGCTGAGGCAGGAGAATGGGGTCAACCCGGGAGGCGGAGCTTGCAGTGAGCTGAGATTGCGCCACTGCACTCCAGCCTGGGCAACAGAGCAAGGCTCCGCCTCAAAAAAAAAAAAAAAAGAAAAAAAGGAAGAAAATCTTCCCAAGTAGATAGTGGTGACGGTGGCACAACTTTGTGATTATGCTAGAAGCCACTGATCTGTACACTTTAAAACGATAAATTATGTGTGGCATGTGGATTCTCAATTCTCAATAATAAGAATTCTGTCTGGAAAGCCTCTACTAAGAGAATTGGCTTGTACCCAGCGCACATTCTTAGTCATTGGGACATCTAGGCAGTGGTCTTCAAACCTAGCCACTGCGTAGAACCACCTGGAGAGTTTTTAATATCCATGTTCCCAGGCCACAGCCACAACCAGTTAAATCAGTAAACCTAGGTTGGACCTAAACCTTAGTATCTTTTAAAGTTCCCTACGTGATTCCGATGTGTAGTCAAGTTTTAGAACTACTGATCTAGCCCATGGTTTGAACCTTCCTGATGGTACCGACTGTGCCCTGTCTTGAATCTTATTTTTTTCATTTATTTTATTTTATTTTTTTAAGAGAGGAGTCTTGCTGTGTCACTCAGTTGGAATGCAGTGGCGTGATTATAGCTCACTGCAGCCTCAAATGCCTGGGCTCAAGCAATCCTCCCACCACAGCCTCTTGAGTAGCTGGGACTACAGGCGAGTGCCACACACCCAGCCATCACCTACCATCTTCTACCCTCCTCCCCCATTAGACTATGAACCCTCCAGGATCAGGAACTGTGTCCATTTCTTTTTTGTTGGCCTCACAACCTTTTTTTTTAAGTTCCACTATCCCTGTCATTACTAACTATTCCCCTATCATCCCTAGCCTACACTTTTCTGTGGATGAAAATGTAATGTATTCGAGAATTTTAACAATTTCTTAGTCTTCCCATACACATTCACTGATAATTTATTTTGATCCTCATAATTTATTAAGCACAGCAGGGACTGGGGTCCTGTCCCCACCTTAGAGAGATTATTTTCACTGCTAAAGATCATAAGCATAGTTTGAGACAGAGAGGGAGATGGACCCAGCTCTCCTGACACAGGTCCCAAGCCCTTCCCTCCACGGTGTCTACCCTCCCTCCAGGACTTCCTCCGTGTGCCAGCTCCAGCAAAGGGTCTCATTCAGCTCGCCTCCAAAAAAGACTTTTAATAGTTCAATAATAATAATGAATATTTAAGGTTTGTTCTAAGGCATTTAGAAGCGGTTTCAGGGAGACATGAAGCCAGTCCTCCCCTGGGCTAGGGGAGGCCAAGATGGACTTGAGCTCCAGGGGAGTTGCTTCTCAGCGCCGAGGCCTGGGTCCCCTCCCCCACCAAGCCTCCCAGGTCTTCTGTTCAAAGCCCTCCCCCTCCACCCCACCTCCAGCCCCCTCTGCTCTGCCCCATCAACTATGTTTTCTCCCTCAGCACTTGCCTTAGATCCCTGGACTCACAAGCACAGAGGCGACTTCCTCCTCGCAGACTTTAGGCGCCACTGCAGGGTCCGGAAAAGAAAGAGAAACGGCCCAGCGCGGTCGCTCACAAAATTCAGGGCGGGGATGCCCTCGGCGCCCGAAAGCTTTTTGTTTTTTGTTTTTTTTTGAAACGGAGTTTCGCTCTTGTTGCCCAGGCTGGAGTGCAGTGGCGCGATCTCGGCTCACAGCAACCTCCGCCTCCCGGGTTCAAGTGAGTCTCCTGCCTCAGCCTCCCGACTAGCTGGGATTACAGGCATGCGCCACCATGCCCGGCTAATTTTGTATTTTTAGTAGAGGCGGGGTTTCTCTATGTTGGTCAGGCTGGTCTGGAAATCCCGACCTCAGGTGATCCGCCCGCCTCGGCCTCCCAAAGTGCTGGAATTACAGGCTTGAGCCACCGCGCACGGCTTTTCCCGCAAGCGTTTTGAATTTTGTGGCCCGGAATTCACTGCGAGGACTGGGATCACCCATCACCCTTCCCTGGTCTCCGGAAAATGAAACGTGTTTACTGATACAGAAACGGAATAACGGCACTTTGGGCTGGGGAGGGCCGAGCTGCCTCAGGCTTCTGGTCTCCAGCTGCGCGGCACTCACACCTGCCGCTGTGAAAATGCAGACCCGCGGGGCAGGAATTCCGAGTCCAGGCTGGAGCGCGATCTGGAATCTGACTCGCTGGAAACAGCACCGCGGTGGATTCGGATCTGGGTGAGTAGGGAACTGCGCCTCAGCCCCTGCCGCAGGCCGCCCACAGATTCCAGGGTCCGAAAACGCTTCACCCCTGGAAGGCAGCGCCCGCCTCTGGGCGGTTCTTATGGAAACGGGCTCCACCGCCCGCAGGAAAACCCACAACTAAGGGGCCAGGAAAAAGCCTCTCAGGGTCCCGCCGCTTCAGTGAGGATCCTAATTTACACCCCGAGTGTGGCCCCGTCAAAGACGGGAGTGACCACTGAAATGATACAAGACCAGCGCGGCCCAGGGCGCTGGGGCGCATAGAATGCTGTGACAGCGCCGCCTCGCGTCCCTTTTCTGACCTGCCCCAGGCGGACGCGGTGAAGTGTGTTGGCCTGGAGGCTGGAATACACCGGGGATCAAGTGCAGAGAGTGGTGAAAGGAGGGAAGGATAGGGGGACGTGTTAAGAAAGGAGGGAAGAGATAGGAAGAAAAGGGGAGAGAAAAAGTAAAGGAGAGATAAAATTTAAAAGACGTAGTTTTATTATTTATTTTTGCCCTTTATCTAGTTTTACTTATGAACATTTTTACTATAGCTTTCTCTCTTTCTGAATCTGTAAATATACTGCTATTATTGTTATTTCAGAGCCTGTGAGGGTAAGTTGCAGACAGCATGACCCTCTACCTCCAGATGAGTCAGGGTGTGTCTCCTGGGCACAAGAACAGGGTTTTTGTTTTGTTTTGTTTCACATAAGCAAAGTACAAATCTCAAAGACGATAATATTTTTAAATCATCATATTGGGACATACTTTGCATGCAATAAACTGCATCTATTTAAAGTGTTCAACTTGTTGAATTTTAGCTGTTGTACACACCCACATCTCCACTACCACAGTGAAGATAAAGAACATTTCCATTGTCTCCCAAAGAAGAGTTATATTATAAAATTCTATACAGTCATTAAAAAGAGTAAGATCGCTTTTAAGTATTGCTATGAAAAGAAGTGCCCAGCGTACTTTTAATCTTTTTTAAAAGGTTAAGGAGGCTGGGCCCAGTGGCTCACGCCTGTAATCCCAGAACTTTGGAAGGCCAAGGTGGGCAGATCACCTGAGGTCAGGAGTTCGAGATCAGCCTGGTCAATATGGTGAAACCCTGTCTCCACTGAAAATACAAAAATTAGCCAGGCATGGTGGCCGGCGCCTGTAGTCCCAGCTACTCGGGAGGCTGAGGCAGGAGGATTGCTTGAACCCGGGAGGTGGAGGTTGCAGTGAGCTGAGATCGTGCCACTGCACTCCAGCCTGGGTGAAAATGCCGCTAATATTACTTACATAATATTAATATATATTTTAAGTAGGGGAAAACCTGGAAGATTCCTCACCAAAGTTTTGACAGTGACTTCAGAGACTGGGATAACTTTGTGACTTTCATTTTCTCTGAAATGTTGGAATTTTATCTTTTAGTATAAACTTGGATTTGGGTGAGTTGCAGTGGTTCATGCCTATAATCTCAGCTCTTTGGGAATTGGAGGCAGGAGGATCGCTTGAGCCGGGGAGTTCCAGGCTGCAGTGAGCTATGATTGTGCCATTGCAATCCAGCCTGGGTGACAGGAGGAGACCCTGTCCCCAAAACAAAAATAAATAAAATTTTAAAATAATAAAAATTGTGAACTTGGATTTATGCGGACGTTAAGGAAGAGAATATTTCAATTTGAAAATACGAAGCTAAGCCCCACACCAAAATGGTTACAGAGTTTTAAAAACCAAAATGTTCTTTAAAACCCACCACCAGAAACTCTTTCAAGAGGATCCTTCATATTTTCATGTCATTGAATCTTTCTTAAAGTGCCTTTGAAAGAGATGTTTTCAGTGGAATAGAGAGATGTGTAACAATATTTACAAAAGGGGTTGGCTGTAATAAAAAGGGAAACGCAAATGAGTGGGGACACAGGGGACCCTGTTCCATTTATTCTCAAAGCACGTTTGAAAACTGCGTTGCCATAGCGTCCTTGGATGGAGACAAAGTCGAGGCAGATCTTGTTCCTGGAGTATTGATTTGATTTTGGAAACGGTCCAAGGCTTTCAGGAATCAGGCTGACTTAGATCTAAAGTCTCAAGAATGTTCGTTCTAGCAGTGAGCCTGTGAGAAGAATCTAGCCCATCTGGGCGATGCTCTCTCTGCTTTCACCTAGTGGCAGTGGTTGGAAGGACAGGGCACAGTGTTACTGCATGGGTGGGGCTGAAGCCAAGGTGAAACCGCCTTTGCAAAATTATAAGTAAGGAAATGATGACAGTGAAAGACATCAAACCTAACTCACCCTATCTTGCTTCTAACCGCTAACCTGCCCTTGTTCATTTCTGGGCATAGGCCGAACTAGCCTTGGGAAGGAATTTATAGTTTAAAGGGAAAGTGTTCTTTTAAAACGAATGAAAGGCCGCCAGCCATTAAGTTAGGATGAGAGGGGCTGGAATTCTGAATATTACCAGCCATTATTCCGGAGGTCATAAGATTTGCAACTTCCCCAGTTACTCTTGAAGGTAACATCACTATTGTGAACCTCAGAGCGGCCTTTTGAGATGTATTTTTCATTTCTTTTTTCTTTTTCTTTCTTTCTTTTCTTTTCTTTTTTTTTTTTTTTTTTTTGACGGAGTCTCGCTCTGTCGCCCAGGCTGGAGTGCAGTGGCGCGATCTCGGCTCACTGCAAGCTCCGCCTCCCGGGTTCACGTCATTCTCCTTCCTCAGCCTACTGAGTAGCTGGGACTACAGGCTCCCGCCACCACACCCGGCTAATTTTTTGTATTTTTAGTAGAGACGGGGTTTCACCGTGTTAGCAAGGATGGTCTCCATCTCCTGACCTCGTGATCCGCCCGCCTCGGGCTCCCAAAGTGCTGGGATTACAGGCGTGAGCCACCACGCCAGGCCAGGTTTTTGCATTTCTAACAACTGGAGGACCCCATCTGGACCTGCCAACCAGTCCTGTGGCCCCCCACTCAGGAACTGACTCAGCCTAAGAGAACAGCCTCCACTCACTATGATTTCATACCGGAGCCAACCAATCAGCACTCCTGATTCACTGGCCCCCCCTATCCACCAAATTATCCTTAAAAACTGATCAGAGTTTTCGGGGAGACAGATTTGAGTAATAAAACTCTGGTCTCCCGCACGGCCGGCTCTGCATGAATTACTCTTTCTCTATTGTAATTCCCCTGCCTTGATAAATCGGCTTTGTCTAGGCAGTCAGCAAGGTGAACACACTGGGTGGTTACAAAGGGAGTCCAGGCCAGTGTGCAGGATGTGCTTTGCTGTAGTGGGGTCCGGGTAGCGGAGGAAAGTCAAGGACACTCAGGGAATAAATGGCAGAGGAAGAAGGAGCACGAGGGAGGACCCAAAGCCTCCAGACCTCTCCTTCCTTCTCTCCCTGTTAGGGTTGGAGAGGACCAGCGTGGTCCCAGGAGGGATGGCTGGTGGGGTGCAGAAAACGCCCTGGTTGCAAAGGGGCGTCACGCGCCCCACACAAGGGTCCTGGCTGTCAGCTGCTACTCATGAGTTCAAATTAGGAGGAGACTCACACGTGTCCTTTGCAAGGTAGACTCCTTATCTCCCGCTCCGGCTGGTTTCCCAAATCCATCCTGATAAAGCAGAAAAACCAAGAGCCAAATTCTGCGTGGGACCTTTCTGACAGCTGGAAGGTCCTCCCCCTCCCCATTCCTCACATGTGCCCTTCTTGCCCTGCCCCCTCCACTTTGTCTCCACTTCCTCATCCTTTTCCCTCTCCGGACCCCGCTCCTGAGTATCTCCCGCCTTCTTCAGAGGACTTCTCCTCATGAAGTACAGACTCCTCCACCTCCAGGAAAAAGAGACAAAGACCACTGAGAGGGACCTGAGAAATGCCTGTGACCCCACCCCTGAGGCCAGCCTCTCCCTCAGTGCTGGCTCTGGCTGTGTGTGTGTATGTATTTTGTTTTGTTTTGTTTGTTTGTTTTTGAGACAGGGTCTCACTCTGATGGTCAAGCTAGAGCAGTGTCCTGATCACAGCTCATTGCAGGCTCCAACTCCTGGATTCAGGCAATCCTCCTACCTCAGCTTCTCGAGTAGCTGGGACTACAGACTGGAGCCACCACACCCAGTATGTGTGTGTGTGTGTGTGTGTGTGTGTGTGTGTGTATTTTTTTCTTTTCTTTTCTTTTTTTTTTTTTTGTAGAGACTGGGTCTTGCTTTGTTACCCATGCTGGTCTTGAACTTCTGGCTTCAAGCAATTCTCATGCCTCAGCCTCCCAAAGTGCTGAGATTACGGGCATAAACCACAACGCCTGGCCCCTGTGTGTGTACATACAAAGTCAAAGTGCTAAACCTGGCACCTAGGAAACATCCCCACCTTGGCATTGCTTGCAACAGTCGGTATTTTGTGCACCTGTGCTTTTGTTTCGGGAGCTGGGACAATTATATTCATCAGAACAGCACGGTGTTAAGGCCCTCACCCCCAGAAAGCTTAAGGGACACTGTTTTATGAAGGAGAGTGAGATTGGAGGAGCCCCTGACTCCAGGTCTCCTGATCCTTCTTACACAAAGCGATGCTGAAAAAAAGTGCAGGACACTCCATTTCCTCCTGGGACCAGACAGGGAAGCCAGAGCCACTGTGGATGTCAAATTCCACCAAGGAAATACCAGTATAGCAAAATCTCCACGTCACATTTTAAAGCTCACACAAGGGCTCAAAGAGAACCCACGTCAAAAAACCGAATTCCTAGCTCAGGTGAGATCACCAAATTTGCCTGTGAGGTTTTGTGGAACCTGCAGGTAGAAAGGACATCTTTATTTAGAGCTGCAGCCCAATTGCTCCTGCATCTTGGGGCCCCTTGAAAGGACCCTCTCCCTTCAACAGTGCATAGTGAGGCCATTTCTGGGGAGAAACGTAGACTGTCCTTGGACTCCTGAGGTTTTTACACTTACTTGCTGACTCTGTGGACTTTGACTTCATCATTAAACATCTTACAACGATGTAATTTGCTTTGACTGTAAGTATAGAACAGGACACTGTTCCTGAAGCAGGAAACAAGGGACTGGTGACCTGAACTGCCACCCCCCTCCCTGGTGCTCAGATGTAATGAAATCGTGAGGCAACAAATCTATGGCTAGGTAAAGGGTCAACTCCATTTCAGCAAATGTTTCAGATGTTCCTTCCCGCCTAGTAATGTTCCAGCTTTACCCCAGCCTTAATCTTTTAAAATGTATATTTTCCTTGGTGTTATTTTAAAGTAATTCGTATGTATTTATTACACTGGGTTTGTTGCAGTAAGCCACTTCGAATGTTGCTGTAGAATTAAAGTAAGCAAATAAATGTGTGGTTCTCCACGGAGTTACTAACTCTTAAAAAAAAAAGTCCAAATGTCCATTCCCAACTCAGCTTCAAGGAAAGTCTCCTCTAGACTCCACAGGGTAGAAATTCCTGTTGATGGCACCTTCAGAAGGTAAGAAAGGAACTCTTCCTCCACCATGCCTGACCCATCTTTGGGTTTTAGGCATTGGCCGACTGATAAAGGCAACTCTGAGAGTACAATCCATGTATAGATGACCGATAGTCATATAATAGGAATCTCACCACACCTGAGAGAGTGGGATAGATTCTCTCATTTTCATAGTTTGGGCATCTGAGTCTCTGAGAGCCTGAATGCCTGACATGGATTCTCCAAGAATGTTGGCCTTGAGACTCTAAAGGGCCCCGGGTCTCCTGTGAAGCCCCCTGTGCATGCACCACACCCGCAGAGGCTCCACAACGGCGGGAAGAGCACCCAGGGTCAGAGCCCAGGCGAGTTCACACTCGGGGACCATCCACATCCAGGGCGTGCAGGGGAGGGGCCGAGGTGAGAGCCCAACCCCTGCCTAGGCTGTGGTGACTGGTGGCTGCACGGGGGTCCCAGCGCTCCTGGAGCTATCATTCTTTATCTCCTGAAGACCCCGGACCCGCACATACAAAAACTCTGCATTTCTGGTGGAGCGGTCTTCTCTTTTGAGATGTAAACACTACTTCTCGAATCTTAAAGCCAGCCATTGCCACTCCTAAGGGATAAGCCTCTAACTCCACTGAAATTAGCCTCAGAATTTCAGCTGAGCATTTGGAGCCACAGGCAGGAAGTCTGTGGGATTTGTACCTGGCTGATCTGGAAGGTGGTCCTGAAAGGTAGTGTGTGACTAGGTGGGCTTTGAGGGGCATGGAAGTCCCTGATGAGAGGAGAACAAGACAGATGGGAAGGTTCCGAAAGTGAATTTCAGTGGGCCCTGTGCCCAGCACTAGGATTTGGAAAATCTTTTCCCAGCCACTTTTGGCCTGTGGGTTTTCATTCTGCTTTCCTGTCTGCCAAGCCATTCCAGGCAATCCCTTCATTTGGTAAACATTTATCAAATACCTACTGTGCGTGGGGCATTGTTTTAAGAGGAGCTGGAACTGAGGTAAGAGGAAATAAACCCTCCTTGCCCTCAAGGCGTGCCCAGTCTTGCTCAGGCAGAGATCAGTAAGGAAATCATAACACAAATTGAGAGAGAAAAAAAGGAAGAAACTGGTCAGGCGGGCAGTTATGGTGGGTTCTCAGTTGAATTATTTCAAACAAAAGAACGGCCTGCAGGCACAGAGAAGGGAACTTGCACAGGGGGGCTTGCCTAAGACATGCCCACAGCTGCACAAATAAGAAAGGCTGCACAGGAGACTTGTCCAGACATGCCCGCAATGGAAAATTCTGTCCCCCGATACATGGGCAGTCAGGGAAACAAAGCAATATGGAGTAACTCAAGCTAAGGGCCTGCATGGGCACTAGGAGGATGGGGTGGAGCTACCGGAAATTCGTGCCTTATGCAAATGAGACACCCAGCCCTCATCAGTTTCTTGTAAAAGCCTTTGCATTCAGCTGTAAAAATGGCAACCATCTTCCAAGCCCCCTCTCTGCAGGGGAGAGCTTTCTTCTTTTGCTTATTAAACTTTTGCTCCAACCTCACCCTTTGTATCCACGCTCCTTAATTCTCTTGGTGGTGAGACAAAGAACTCCAGGTAACACCTCACAAGGAGAGACTGAGAGGCTGCTACGTTGTGGTGCATTGGCAAGACTAACAAACTGGCTAGTGGGACATGCACACTTGCTTGGTAGACATATATGTAGATCTTCAGCTCTGACTAATGAAGGAATACCAAAAATCTCATAAAAGAAAAAAATATTATTTGAGCTTTGTTTTGTGGTGTAAGTGGGAGCCCCACAGGCACCCAGGATAGGAGAGCTTTGCTCAGAATCCAGGAAGTGAACATCTTTCCCTGGGCCAGGCCAAGAATGAGACTAAGCTGATTGAGGAGCCTGGTGCCTCCTGGCAAGAAAGGGTGTCTGACACCTGACTATCCAGAAGTCACAGCTACTGAATATTGAGACTTGAAACAGAGAGAGAGAGAGAGAGAGAGAGACACACAGAGAGAGAGAGAGAGAGAGAGAGAGAGACACACACACACAGAGAGAGAGAGAGAGAGAGAGAGATCTGATTTGAAAAGCAGAATTCTGCTGGGGGCTTGTTAAATGCAGAGTTTCTGATACAGTAGGTCCAGGCCAGGCCCTGAAGATTGCATATCTAAGTTCCCAGGTGATGCCAATGCTGCTTCCCCCAGGACCACACTTTGAGAACCACCACCCTAAGGCAATCTGTGTTGGTTTCTAATATCAGAAGAGGGCTGGGAGTGGGCTGGGAGGCAGAGGTGTAGGATCAGTGAGACCACACCTGACCCACCCTGGACAGCTCCCCACCCCAATCTTGCAGCATTTTATTTCCTGGGAGTCCTGGGAATGGAAGACACCCAGGAAGGGACCAAATGTGGGGTCACAGGGTGATCCAGAGGCTCGGCTTCATACAGCACCTGGGGCTCCCGCCACTCCACAACTGGCCCCCACACCCTCAGTCTTCCCACCCCTCACGACACTGACCTCCAGACCTTCCTCGACTGCTCTCAGCAGGTTGGGCCTGGGATGTGACACTAGGAGCTCTGAGTGTACCTTCTGATCCAAAGATAGGGTGACTGCGTATGACAAGTACTCAGATGGGCCATTAATAAGACCTTGAACATTTGGCAAATGGCTTCAGTCACGTGTGCTTGAGAATTCCAGTGTTTTCTAGATATGGCATCCATGAGCCCACACAAACACTGGAGGGCGTCGTGAGCATACTGAAACCCATAACTGCTGCACTGGATCCCCTAGAATCCCTTTCCCACTTAGACCAAGATTTGAACAAAATTTCATTCACCAAACAAATTGCATTTAATTAATCATGCTGTTATTTTACCTTGTAATGGAAAAAAGATAGATGTAAAGAAAGATCATGCAATTAAAAAGAAAACAACGTACTGAATTAAAATGGCGGTAAACCTCCTTGTTAAAGGAATAATATAATATTTAGAAAATTTTTAAAATGTATTTTAATAAAGGTAAAAAAATTCTATTAGTTTTTAAAAGGTTTTTCATTTTGAATTTTTTTGGGGTTTGTTTGGTTGCCCTAGGAATTATCTTTTATTTCTTGATATAGTTCAAAATTCAAAATTCAAAATATTCAAAAGGTAAAATGTCTCTTTCTTACCCTGTCTCATCCCCAACAGGCAACCAGGGATATCTTCTTGCTTATTCTTCCAAATATATTTTATGCATATGCAAGCAAATATAAATGTGTATATATATCTCTTTGTCCCTTTTCACACAAATTTTAGCAGACTCTATATGTTATTCTACACCTTGCTTTATTTCTTCTTAACAATGTATCATGGAGACCATCCCATGAGGGAATATCAAGAGTTTCCTATGTCTTTCTTCTTTTGTGTTAAATGTTTGTAGACTCCGCTGTGTAGATATGCAGTGCTTGTTTGGGTTTTCTTAGGAAGGTAGGGAGGCCTCCTCATGTTACCCAGAGTGGAGTAGAGTGTATTCACAGGTGAATGCTACTGTGCTCAGCTTGCAATGCTTTTTTAACTAGTCCGCTAGTGACAGACATTTGGATTATTTTTTCTTTTATCTTTCAGTTTCTTTCTTCTTTCCTTTTTGATTTTACAAACAGGGTTGCAACATATAATTCTGAATACAGTCATTTTTCAGGAATGCAGGTCTATTTTTGGACACATTTCTAGAAGTGGGACTACTGGGTGTATGCATTTTTAATTTAGACAGAAATTGCCATACTGCCTTTCCTGAAAACATTTCCAGTTTGCAGGCCCATCTGCAATATATCAGAGTACCTGTTTTGGTACCATTAGTTTTTTGATTATAGAAATATGTAGAGATATATATTTGGGAGCCATCTGTGTCTAGACGATATTTAAAATCCTGGGAGTGGAGGACACTAGAGTGATTGGGAGGCAGTAAAACCCCACAGTGCTCCAGCATCTACAGCAAAAGGAGCCACTGAAGGGGGACTGAGGAGGAGCAGCTAGTTGGGGAGGAAGATAACTTGACCTGTAAAATGTCAAAGAAGATTTTAAAGGGGGGAGTTGATACAACCTCTTCAGAGAACAATTTGACATCCTATAACATCACATGGTAAAAGCACAGTAATCCCATTCCTACATCCGTATCTTGGGGAACTCACACAGGTGACCAGAGAGAGATGACCCAGGATGTTCATTGTGGCAGTGTCTGTAACAGAAACAAGCTAAAGGTCGCGGACAGGAGAAGAGATAAATTGTGGGATATTCGTCTCATAAATACTATCCAGCACTGAAAACAAATGAACTGTTTCTATGGGTGTGTGGGTTCACCTCATAGACCATATTAAACGATAAAGCAAGCCACAGAATGATACATTCAACAAAAAACAATTTTTACAAAGTCTAAAATCATGTCAAATGAAAGGATTTAAAAAACTTTGTAGGCCGGGCGCGGTGGCTCACGCCAGCACATTGGGAGGCTGAGGCGGGCGGATCACGAGGTCAGGAGACCGAGACCACCCTGGCTAACACAGTGAAACCCCGTCTCTACTAAAAATACAAAAAAATTAGCCGGTCGTGGTGGTGGGCTCCTGTAGTCCCAGCTACTCGGGAGGCTGAGGCAGGAGAATGGCGTGAACCCGGGAGGCGGAGCTTGCAGCGAGCCGAGATCGCGCCACTGCACTCCAGCCTGGACGACAGAGCGAGACTCCGTCTCAAAACAAACAACCAAAAAAAAAAAACACTTTGTAGCAATATAAAGGCATTCACCAAATTCAAGACATCCGCCACTCCCCACTGGCAGTCCAGTACTCAGTACAGTAGTACTGTACAGTACATAGAGTACTGTACTGTATGTGTTTCCGCGGAAACACATACATAACAGAACTGTGGAGAATCAGGGCTATCTGCATATATTTCTATTATTTTCTATCTATACTACATATAGCCAATAATATTAAAATGTTACAAATTGACAAACCTGGGTAGGGGCTTCACAAAGATTTCTTTTAATTCTCTATTCTTCCAGCTAAAACTACCTCATAATAACTAGCAGCAACATGGATGGAACTGGAGGTCAGTATGTTAAGTGAAATAGACCAGGCAAAGAAAGACAAATATCACATGTTCTCACTCACATGTGAGAACTGAAAAAAAGTTGATCTTATGGAGGTGGAGAGTAGAATAATAGTTACCAGAAGCTGGGAAGGGTGTGTGGGGGATCTGGGAGATAAAACGAGGTAGCTTAATGGGTACAAAGATACAGTTAAATAGGAGGAATAAATTCTAATATTCGATAGCACAGCAGGCTGGCTGTAGTTAACAACAATGTATTGTGTATTTCACAATAGCTATAAGAGTGGATTTGAAATTCACCCAACACAAATAACTGATAAATGCTTGAGGTGATGAGTATCCTAAATATCCTGACTCGATCATTTCACATTCTACACATGCATGAAAATATTATGTGTACCCCAAAGTATGTATAAATATTATGTGCCAATAATTTTTATTAAAATACCAACAAGCTCAGTACAATAAGGAGTATTTTAAAATGATACAAAAATTATTTGTGTGATAATTTGGCAAATATTTCCTGTTCATTAACATCAATTTTTTCTCCTATAAGTATAAGGAGAATAATACCTAAATAGCATCAGAAGTGGTTGCTTTCCTGAAAGAGAATCCTTTTCCCAGTTAAAAATACAGAATCAGAATCACTAAAGTAAATAGGACTTTGGAGAACTACATAGCACTGGGTCTTGCTGCCCTGGGGCGGCCAGGCTGAGGGAGTGCTCACCTTCCAGGGAAAACTAAACTTCGGCTCCCTTGTTTTGGTAGTGTTCTTTTTTTTTTTTTTTTTTTTGAGATGGAGTCTTGGTCTGTCGCCCAGGCTGGAGTGCAGTGGCGAGATCTTGGCTCACTGCAAGCTCTGCCTCCTGGGTTCACACCATTCTCCCGCCTCAGCCTCCCGAGCAGCTGGGACTACAGGCACCCACCACCACGCCCGGCTAATTTTTCTTTTCGTATTTTTAGTAGAGAAGGGGTTTCACCATGTTAGCCAGGGTAGTCTCGATCTCCTGACCTCGTGATCCGCCCGCCTCGGCCTCCTAAAGTGCTGGGATTACAGGCGTGAGCCACTGCGCCTGGCCTTTGGTGGTGTTCTTATTGCAAGACCAACATTTCAAAATATCAACAGAGTCCAGCCAAAGGGTTGTATTCTCTTTTATTTCTTATAATATGCACCGCCAAGGATGGCGCAGACTCTTATGGGCTAAACTGTGTCCCTGTACACATATTTTGAGGCCAATGTTGACAAGATAGAGGGAGAAGATGGCCATCTGTAAGCCAGAGACAGGCCTCAGGAGCAATCAGCCCTGCAATACATTCCATCGTGGACCTGTAGCCTCCAGAACTGGGAGATAATACATTTCTACTGTTTAACTTACCCAGTCTGTGCCACTTTATTATGGAAGTCTTAGCAAATTAAAACAGAGATATCACCTTTTCTACCCTGCCCTACATATGAAAATGAGATTTTTCAAGAGTATGAATTATGTAGGATTCCAAAGCATAGAACGGATAGATTGAAAATTGACAATGGCAGGTGATGTAGAGTTTGGGCAGATGTAGGCTGGCTTCCAAGCCTCCGTGGTCCCATGGTCACCACACAAAGGTGGAGATGTTCTCATTCCTTTTCATTTTCACTTGGAGCAGAACATGTGGGTCCACACTGGTATATGATCAGAAGATATATTTAACTGATTTGAGATATTGAGGTAGAAAGTCTTGCTGTACTTTTATAGAAAGATGAATGATAATTATCATCACTAAAGGGGCTTTTAGGCAGGGTGTTGCTGGCATTATGTTTTCCTCCTACTTTTAAGGTGCATGTTCCTAAAAAAGCCCTGTCTAGGAGTAAAGGCCATCACTTAAATTTTTCTGTTTCTGCGGCCGGGCGCGGAGGCTCACGCTTGTAATCCCAGCACTTTGGGAGGCCAAGGCGGGCGGATCACGAGGTCAGGAGATCGAGACCATCCTGGCTAACATGGTGAAACCCCGTCTCCATTAAAAATACAAAAAATTAGCCGAGTGTGGTGGTGAGCGCCTGTAGTCCCAGCTACTCGGTAGGCTGAGGCAGGAGAATGGCATGAACCCAGGAGGTGGAGCTTTCAGTGAGCCGAAATCGCTCCACTGCACTCCAGCCTGGGTGACAGAGCAAGACTCCGTCTCAAAAAAAAAAAAAAAATTTTTTTTTCTCCACCTGTCAACTCATTGGTCCTCACTTCATTTCAGTAAGGTTACCGGAATGTCTGTGTTTATCCAGGATTCACAGATGAGTTTAAAAGTCCCTAGTGGTAGAGAGCTTCTCCCGAGGTCACACGGCAACCGAGTGTGGTGGAGCAATGACAGGCATGTGGCAACCTTGGTCCGTACTCCAATTCTCTAGGTGCCATGAGAATTGCAGCCTTTGGTTCATTTTCTATTATTATTTTTTTTTTTCTGAATGAGTGAAGGAAAATGTGTGTTGAGAACAAAGTGCCAGAGACCTAAGTCCATTCCTTAAACCTGCAGGGTTGGGGCCTGGAGAGACAGAGGCTGCCACTGATTCTCTGAATTCCAGCTTCCGTTGTCAGTCACGCAGCTGAAAGCAGGAAGAAGCTTTCTCTTCTGCACTTGGAACAACAGGGTGAAGATGACAGAGAGTCCCACATCTACCATGGAAAAGGCAATGGTCCCTAAATCATGCCAAGTTTTCTAATGACATGTGTTTTCCCGCAACATGTAACTATATGTCCTCCCTTCAAGCACCAGTTATCACAGTACAAACACAGCAACAGCATAAAGGAATGACTACTGAGCCTGAAGCTCTGATGGATGCTCTGAGTTGAGACTTTGTTTTATACTTAGGTACCTGTGAGTCATTGCAGAGTTTTGCCTGACTCCACCATGACCCAATTTGATCAAGGTCTATATGCTATGAGACCTCTCTAGTTCCTCATCAGAAATTATAATGAATACCATGTCCAGCTCCTGAGGTGCCTGATGGCAACGAGCGGCAGCTCCTCTTGGGGCAACACTTTGAGGGTGACCAAGGCCTCACAGACCTCACTACTGCTGGGCTACATGGCCCAAGGCTCCTGGGCACAATGGATCGGTGGTCTTGGATTCGCCTCGGACATTTAATGACATTTGTTCTTGGGCTTTCACAAGTGGTCTCTGGTTGAGATGGAAGGAAAGGACGCAGGGACACAAAATCTCTGACTGCCCAGGGACCCCCTCACCGTCCTCACTTCCACTCAAGACGACATGGCCGTTCCACTAAATTCCCGAGGACATGGCCAACATGAGTAACAACACAGGGAAGTGCCTTACACAGAGTTCCATGGAAGCCTGGCTAGTACCCTCTAGACCATTTACCTACACCTGTTGGGATCTCTCTAGCATGAAATGCTCCAGAGGCAGTCATGCCATAAGCTTGGATCCTCCAGCCATTGAGTGTGAGGGTCTTAGCCCGGTCTAAATGAGCACTGAATTCTAGAGAGACCAAGGGACCGTCTAAGTTCTGAATTCTGAGTCCTGAATCCTGGAAGTTGGCTTCTGGCCAGGGAGCAGGTGTTACTGCCTCTGATCCACAAAAGCAGCCCCACAGCTCAAGTTGCTCTTCTGGATTTCTCCCCTCTCCTGGTTCCTGGCCAGGCAAATCTTCACTGCTTTGTTAGCCCATCCATTTGCTCAACCAGATTTTTCAAATATGTATGTTTTCCTCCTTTTCCCATTGTACTCAGTGGAAGGAATGGTCTAAATTACCTAATCAGCAATTCCTGGAAACCAAGCCACCATGTACATACAATCTTATACGTTAATGTCACATACAAGAAAGAAAATGCAGAGGTACCAGTAGTGGCTACCTAAGCAGTGTAATGTAGAGGTAATAAAAACGAATTGTTGGATAGTATCTATCTATGCCATGAGTAAAATACATATCAATAAATTACAACTTCTAAGAAAATAATCTCTATATGTAATATATGACTATGACTCTGATAGACAAACCTCGGAGTATTGTCTGAAGACACTTCTCATCACCTTCACCTCATGAGCCAGATGGTGTGAAATGAAGAGCAGAGATTTGAAATGTGTGGCAAGCCTCTCTGCAAAGCAGCAGAGTAACATTCTACATGAGCGAATCAAAGCAATCTCACAAATGACATTGGATGTGCGGTGTGGGATGTGTGTCCTTATTATAATGGAGTTAATCCTTTAAGTAGGTAATCCTTTTACATGAACTGGATTCTAAATGACTTATTAGCTATCAATTAGCCAGGAATTTTTCCCTTTACTAAAAGAGAGACCCTGCCATGAACCAGCATTTCCCAGGTGGAGGTCTCTGGCAGACATCAACTTCTAACAGGGTAAATGTCCTGTTTCTTTAGTCAGGGAAAACTGACTTTCACAAGTGGTCTCTGGTTGAGGGATCCCATTTTGAGTGGGGCATTTGCCAAGTCACTTCTCCCTGTTCCTGCTGGGGCTGGGGATGATGAACCGAGTGAAGACACAAACTCTGAGAGGGAGCCAGGCAGACAGGCAGACTGACAAGGAGGGCACTGCCTGGTCTAGTTACCATTCGCACCCAGTCAGAAGAGGTGAAGGGTGAGAGAGGAGGCTGCTGGGAACTGGAATATTAGCAGCCAGGAAGGCCAAGAAAGTGCAGGCTGACAGTATAGGCCAGAGGCTGGAGACCCTGGGAGGGAGCTTTGTTGTTCCCTCTGAGCCCCAGGGTGCAGGAGAGGGTCCTTTTCACCAGGGAGCTTCAGCCTTCAGGATGATTTCTGGGCTCTGCACTCCACTGATCCTCCATGAGGACTTTAAACAGCAAGATGAGGTACCCAGGGCCCTAGGAATCTGATTCTTATATACCCTGAAATACCTTTACTAAAAATATCATCCCTATGTTTTGCTTATTTCTTATAACATATAAAACATTAAGCCAAACCACTGTACAGAATTTATTAATATGTAGATATGAGGTGTCTGGTGACAGATCCTCCAAGTTATTTATATCAGAGGAAGAAAGTGGTCTGGCTGCATTCACAGATGAGAACAGCAGGGTAGCAACACTCAGGACCATGACACTGGGTGCTCCCAACCCCGAAGGGAAGCGTCTCACTGTACACAGATGGCCAGGAGAGTGATCACAGGGTCCTGTGTTATCTCCTCCTCCTCCTCTCCTGGGTCCTGGGTTTCACTTCCTAATCTCAGCTGGTAGCAAAATTAACTTGGTATTCAAGACCCTTATGGCCCCTCTTCACCATAGCATCTCATCAGGTCTCTTTCCTCATAAGAATTTCAGCACAGGGGTGTACTCTAGAAATATCACCATGGAAGGGGTGGCAGAGGCAGCTCATCTCTAACTCCTCAAATAGAGAGGATGGAGCCACAGTCCTGTGCCTCACCCATCCCATGGTCCTGCCTCAAATACAGTCTCCTCCTGCAGGCTGCTGGGTCCTCTTTATTGTCATTCTCCAGATGGTGACAGGGTCCCAGGCAGACGTGCTCACAGCTTCCTTGGGGCCTGATACCAACAGGAGTTGAGGCCAGGGAGCAGCTTTGGGCTGTAGCGATCTTTGGATTTGAAGGTAGGGGATGGTGATGGGCTGCCCATAATGCTCTAGGTGTAAAGGCTGAGAGTGGCTGAGCTGAATCTGGTCATTACCATGTTCTCCACAGTTTGAGAGCTGCCTTGTGCAGACCAGCAAGACACAGATAGTTCTCAGCCCCCTTATATCTCTGTGGACCCTGACTTTTCTTCCCCCAGCTGCTGTCCTCCCAAGCACAGCCCCGGGAGGATGTAGGGAGAGGGACCCATTCCCCTGATGCCCCAGAACCCCTTTCATGTAATCCCAATATCCAGGCCTGGGGTCCCCTTCTTTGGATCTACCTTTCTTTTCTTGGAATGAAAGGGTTACAGGGTCTCCCTCCCAGATCTCCACTGTGACTCACTCACCCTAAATAGATGTCTTGCTCTACAGTTATCTTCTGCATAGTGTTTTCTGAAGATGTGATAAAATATTATAAGCCATTAATAAAACATGGAAGTTAGGTTCTCTTTTTGGATTCTGAGGATCTGCTGTGCTGGGGCAGGGGCAGGTGGGGAGAGAAGGGCAGGTGGAGGGGCAGGAGCTGAGTGGTGTGCGGCCTCGCTCTGTGCCCAGTAAAGCTCCTGCTGTGGTCATCTCTTGTGTATTTGTCTGGATCCCTCCATGTGCTGGGATTTGTGCCTGGTCTTTAGGGGCGGGTGCTGCTCCAGGTCGGAGGCCTCACACATCTCCAGGCTGAGCCTTTCTCCAAGTCCATGGAGGTCACGGGCTGAGAATGGCCAGTCCCACTCCTGCCTTGAGTTTCACTTTATTTGGCATATTTTTATATGTTGATCTGATCCTTCTCACAAGGGATGTTTATGAGCATTATTTCATAGGAGAGCCACTACCATCCCGCCGTGGCCATGCTCTGTCCCTGACACCAGGATCCTGGGTGCTTTGTTTTTGTTCTCCCCTAAAGTCCCGGGACAGCCTCTGCACGTGGGGCTTCTCAGATGACACAGATTGATGATTTCCACCTTAGCCTTCTTTCCTCTTCCATTTCCAGAATACTTCTATTTTTTTCTTTTATTATACTGTCAGATTTTCAAGTTAAGGGCTGGGCACAATGGCTCACACCTGTAATGCTAGCACTTTGGAAGTCCAAGTCAGGGGGATTGCTTGAGGCCAGGAGTGGAAGACCAGCCTGGGCAACATAGCAAGACCCTGTCTCTATGAAACAAATCGAATTAACACCATGAATACATGTGTTATTGTCATGTCATAAATAAATTCTTGTCACTTCTTCTGTGGGACAGTCAGGGTCCTGGCAGGAAAGAGATGACAAAGAAAGAAGACACACATTACAGAGGTGCTGGCAGGCCTAAGAAAGCCACAAGGGGTGCTGAAGCTCCCTGGGATGATCAGTGGCAGGAAACTGTTTCCATCTCTGAGTTGAAAGAACAAGGAAGAGGGAGCAGTTTCCAGAACTCACGGAAATCTGTAGCTTTCACTAGGGGCAGCCCCGCAGGCCTGTGGCTGTAGGTAGAGGACGGCAATGATTACAGAACCGCAGAGCTGTCCAAAGGGAGTGAGGGAAGTGAAAACCCTGAGTTACTTCTCCCCCCACGCTCCCATCTCCTGCAGGTGCCTGTTATCATCCACACCCAAGCAGAAGCAGGTGGTGCAGGAGCACAGGCCGTGCTGTCTCTGTGGTGCCCCCAGTGCAGGGGGCAGGATGGAGGAGAGTGAACCACAGCTCTGTGGAGGGGAAGCAGAGAATAATGCACTCACCTGCTTACGGTGTTCACATTCTTCAGGGAATTTACTTAAATATACCAGAGTTTGTTCTAATCCAAAAATATGACTTTAAAAAGAAGTATCTCACTTATAAATGCATAGCAGGTAGTAAAATTGAGTATTACCTCACTCTCCTTCCCTTTCCCCACATGGGACTGTATAACTCATAAATGAATAACTTGATTTATTATTATTTTTTTAAAATAACTTGAATTATTTGGGTGTAAGCCATAAAAGCAGAGTCTGGCTCAGATCAGCAAAGGGAAGTTGTTGGGCAGCTGGCGGTGCAGTTCACAGAATCACAGATACTTTCAAAGTACCAGGACAGCACCGAGGAGCAGGCGGCAAGCCCTGACCAGTCTCGTTGGACTAGACCATGGAGTGAAAGAATCGTCACTGATACTGATAGCTTGTGACTGCTGATGCTTTAAATTCTGAGACAGTTTACCCAAATGGCTTAGTTTAGATCTCATGCATTTCTTATTTTCTTGTGATTTAATTTCAGGGATAGAGTCAATATCTTCCCTTAAGGGAAGTTCCTTTCCTGTTTATCTTGTTAAACTAGGTGGAAGGGGAAGACTTTTTCAAGTTCCCATGGACCCATATACATCATGACATCAATCTAATTGCTCTCATCCAGTGATACGGTTTGGCTGTGTCCCCATTCGAATCTCAACTTGAATGGTATCTCCCAGAATTCCCACATGTTGTGGGAGGGACCCAGGGGGAGGTAACTGAATCACTGGGGCCAGTTTTTCCCGTGGTATTCTTGTGATAGTCTCACGAGATCTAATGGGTTTATCAGGGGTTTCCGCTTTTGCTTCCTCCTCATTTTCTCTTGCCACTGCCATGTAAGAAGTGCCTTTCACCTGCCGCCATGATTCTGAGGCCTCCCCAGCCATGTGGAATTGTAAGTCCAATTAAACCTCTTTTTCTTCCCAGTATGTCTTTATCAGCAGCGTGAAAATGGGCCAATGAGAGGGGCTATTTCCTCCACCACCAGTGGCACTGTGGGAGGCTCTTCTGCACCCATATTGCAGCTCAAACCCATTAAAAGGGGAATCAGAGAGCTGGGCTAGGCATTTCCCTTCCCTACACTACAGGAATCCTAGTTGTGTTTCCCTTCTGTTTGATAGACTTAAATCTAGATAGTCACTAAGTTGCTGTGTGGTCACGTTTTGGAGAGAAAGGAAAGCAGGCAGGAGTGAGGACACTGGCACCCCAACTGCTGCCTGTGGGCACCTGCACATTCATGCTCCACTCTCACACTCACACTTACACACGTGTACACACACTCCAATTCCCACTTGTGCACACATGCACACACGTGTGCAGCCACACACACACACTCAAGTCAGCACTGGAGGATGACACTTCCCAACACCCTTGTACCCACGTGCCATTCTTGGGGATTTGTGCGGCTGGAGGCAGGAGGTCCTGAGGAGGCACCACCAGGGACTACCACCAGGGGGAGGGTTGAGTGAGTGGGGTCCTGCCAAGGCACTGGTGGATGGGATGATACCTACGGGATGCACTGGCAGGGGCAGACGTTTGCTCCAAGGCCATCTCCCTTCCATCTCCTCTCCCTGCTCAGGCTCAAAGCCCTGACCTGAGGCCCAGCTAGAAAGGCAGAAGGCATCCTCCCACACAGAGCACACAGCTCCTTCCCTGCATCAGAACCCTCGGTGGCACCATCAAGTTGGACAGATATAGTCAGGCGAGGTGGGGGGTCACTGCAGAGGACAAGAAGGTCCTGTCCTGGAATCTGCAGCCAAACACCTTTGGCCACAGACTGAAGGCTGCACTGTCAGCTTCCCTACTTTTGAGGTTTTGGGACTTGGACTGATCCATCACTGGCTTTCTTGCACCTCAACTTGCAGACGGTCTGTCGTGGGACTTCACCTTGTGATCGTGTGAGTCAATTCTCCTTAATAAACTCCCTTACATATGTACATACATCCTATTAGTTCTGCTCCTCTAGAGAACGCTGACTCACACAGTGGGTGAGGCAGGGAGTTGCGTGAGCTGCCCAAAAGCCACCAGGAGCCACTCTCTCCAGGCTTTGGCCTCACTTCAGTGCCAGGCCCTGCCACAGCCCTTGCCCCCATCCTACTCTGCCACCCCCAGCTCCCTCCCAGCCTGACCCCAGACAGAATCCAGAACAACTCCTGTTCCTGACCTGAAAAATGTTCTTGCCAGTTTAGGCAGAACTTGCTTTAGAGCCCTGGTGTCCAGCCCGCCACAGGTCTTGTGTCTGTTTCTCTTGGCACTGTGTCTTTTCTCACTTATTCTTCTGAAACTCTGCAAGGCAGGAATTATGTCACTGGTTTGCAGATGAGGAAACTGGCTCAGATGGTTTCATTCAGCACTCACTCACTGGGCAAGTGTCTGTCGGGGCCAGCTCTGGGTCAGATGTGCTCAGGCCTCTTCAGCTGGCTGGTGGGAGGACCTGGAGGGTTCATGCCCAGGTCCAGGCCCATCTGACTTGAAAGCTTTTCCTGACTTTGCTTCAGTGCTGATTTCCCCTTTGCAGGTGCACCTTCCACTGTGCTTTCCTTTATTACTGTTTGCTGACACTGCATTTTTTCCTTTGCTTTTTCTTTCTTTCCATCTTTCTTTCTTTTTTCTTGCTTTTTTATTTATAGACCGAATGTTTGTGGCAACCCTGTGTCAAGCAGGTCTATTTGGCACCATTTTTCCAACAGCATGTGCTCACTTCATGTCTCTGTGTCACATTTTGGTAATTCTTGAAGTATTTCAACCTTGTTCATTATTACACCTGTATGGTGACCTGTGGTCAGTGATCTTTGAAGTTACTCTCGTAACTGTTTTGGGACACCATGACCCACACCCTTATAAAATGGTGAACCTTATTGATAAATGTTGTGTATGTTGTGACTTCTCCACCAACTGGCTGGTTTCTTGACTCTCTCTCTCTCTCCCGGCCTTCCCTATTCTGTGAGACACAAAAATATTGAAGGCAGGCCGATTAGTAACCCTACAATGGCCTCTAAGTGTCCAAGTGAGGAGAATAATCTTGCTGCAAACTTCGTTGTGTTATTTTAAGAAATTGCCACAGCGATTTCAGCAACCACCCTTCTGATCAGTCAGCAATTATTAACATTGAGGCAAGACCCTCCACAGCAAGAAGGTTAGGATTAGCTGAAGCCTCAGGTGATTGTTAGCATTTTTTAGCAATAAAGTAGTTTTACATTAAGGTATGTACATAGTTCATTTTGTACATAATGCTATTGTACACTTAAGAGACTACAGTCAAGTGTAAATATAACTTTTATATGCACTGGGAAACTGAAAAATTTGTGTGACTTGCTTTGTTGCCATGGTCTGGAGCCAAACCTGCATATATCTGAAGTATGACTGTAATTTCCCTTTCCCTCTTCTTGCTGGCCCAGAATGACCTTGTTTCTTGCCCCTGTCTAGCCCTGCATGCTGTAGGGGTTTGCCTTCTCTGGTAGGTCTGGGCACTTTGTATCCCTTGTAACTCTGGCTCCTGGAATATGACACTGGTACAGGGCTCAAGCTCTGTTGGACTAGTGAGCCTCCTCCCATTCTTCCTGAACTAGAACCAAAGCTCCGTGCACACACTGTGCATGTGTGAGCCTGTGTAGAGATGTCGGCTTCCTGCAGCGTGTTCTGAAGGGGTGTCCTGTTGTGACTGGGGGCACAGCCACAGGCCACTGGGCAGAGGTGGTTCAGAAGGGAGTGGATGGCCCCAGTTTTGATCATCTGAAAACAGGGAGGTCCTCAGAGAAAAACCAATGTCTTAGAAGGCAAAACTGCCCGAGAGTGGACAATGGCTAACCAGGTCACTACCTGGGACATCACTCTGCACTAGGAGGGAAGATGGCCTCTGCCATGGTATAGAGGTCCAGGAACCAGGCAGGGAGGCCTTCCCGGTGGTCAGTGCTTCTCACAATTGGTAGCTAAAGTATCTTTAGATGAGGCCAAAGGCCTCATGTTCCTCACTAGCTGACTTGTTCCCACTCAGTGGAAAAAGAACACAGAAACTTTGTAAAATGTTAGGGGAGAGGTACTTTCCCTCTTGACTCTTAGTGCTAGGGTTATGCATGACGCATACTTGCATTGCAATGTGTACACAGCTTAAAGTCTTAATTATTAGAATATAAGAGGCCCAAACTACTGTTTTTATACATATGTGAAACTGTACATATAAGGTTAAACAACCTGCAACCAGTTAACTTTGAAGATACATTTATCACATTTGTAGATTTTCAAACAATATTGGCAGGCATTTAGAAAAACAACAAATGAGACTCTTGCAAGACAATCTAAATTATACGCTGATAACATTGCTTCATGAAGAGGACATTTGAACCATCTGAGTTTCTGCCTTAGGTTATAACTCCAAAATGGACGAACCCCCAATAGTTTATAGCAGGCAGCCCCAAGCCACAAACAAATGTGTCAGTGCAGACCTGAGACCTGGAGTGAGTCCCCCTCCCCCAGGGACATGAGTGAATCCTCTAAGACCCCTCTTCCTCCAGGCCCTCCATCCAGTCATCAGGGAGACAAGAAAGGGTCCACACAGCACTGAGGCCCAACTATCTCACTGTCCTCACCTCCATGGACAGAGCCCAGGTGAAAGCCACCCCTGAGCCTCCTCCCTCGTCTCCCACAGCCTCAGCACCATCATCTGCCTTGAGTCCACCAGGACTGAGCTCATCATGCCTTTTCCCTGTTTGTGTCAGTCACACTGGGTCCCCCAAACACCCTGCATTCACATCCCCACAAGGCTCTGCACACCCCTATTTTGTCTCCCCATACCCCATTCCCAAATCCAGAAGTCTTCCCGCTGTGCCCCTTGGAATTCTCAGCCCATGATCAGCAAAACCTCCACATCCTGTCTCAGGATGTTCCTGGACCTCACAGCTCCAGCGATGTCTGTGTCTGCCAGAGGATGTGGTCCCTTCCAAAGTCCTCCCACATGGGGGAGTTTGCACAGGGACCTTGTACCCTTGGCCCAGAGGTGGGGTGGCATCCTCACTCCTCACTGTGGTTCTCAGACCTTTCTGCCTCCTTCCTTCCTAAGCCCCCAAAGCTGTCATCAGATTCAGGCCCCACTCCCCTCATTGCAGCCATTCCCTGTGGGCCCCAGGCCGTTCCTCTCAGTCCTGACTCTTGTAGTTCCTGGTTCACTATCGCCCTCTCCAGCAGTGCTGTCTCCTTGATCCTCGGTGACTTCAACATACTCAGATGTGATGGGCCGAGTAATGGTTCCCAAAGACATCCAATCTCAATCCTGGGCACCCACGAGTAGGTTGCATTACATGGCAAAAGGGAAAATACTGATGTGATGAAGATTAAGGACCTTAAAATTGCAAGATTATTTTGGACTATCTGTGTGGGCCCGATCAAATCTCACAAGCCATTAAAAGCAGAGAAGCTGCTCTGGCTGGAGTCAGATGCTGCAGAGGAGGAAGGCAGAGGAGACACCGCAGAAGGGGGAGGTCAGAGGTTCCAAGCAGGAGGATTGGATATGTTGCATGGGATATGTGTGAGGAACTGAGAGAGGGCTCTAGGAGCTAAGGGTGGCCCCTGGACAGGAGCCAGCAAGGAAGTGGGGATCTCAGTCCTATCTGCAAGGAAGTGAATTCAGACAAGAACCTGAATGAGCTTGACAGTAGATTTTTCCTCAGAGTCAGAAGGAACACAGACCTCCCCTTACCTTGATTTTAGCCCCATGAGACTGTTGAAATTGTAACACACATGACTGTGACATGATAAAGAGATGCTGTTTAAAGCCACTTGTTTTGTGTTAATTTTTATGGCAGCAATAAACACCCATAGAGCAGAGAGGATGCATCGCCCTCTGGCTTCTCAGATGCTGGGACTCCTCTCCTCCATGACCTTCTCCTCTCTCTGCCTGAATCTCATGCCCTTGTCATATAAGCATTATTTCGTAGGAGAGCTGCTATCATCCCGCCATGGCCATGGTCTGTCCCTGACACCAGGATCCTGTTGCTTTGTTGTTGTTCTCCCCTAAAGAGTCCTAGGTCTCATCATGGCC